>NC_000022.11:29164109-29315624 GCF_000001405.40 Homo sapiens
CAGCTGAGGACCTTACATTTTAAAAAGAACAGTCCAGATGTAAGAGATTTACAAAAGCAGGATATCAATTAACTAGTCCAAAATGGAAACGGCTGTTGACTATGGTGTGGGGGGCCTTCTTGAAGTCAAAGAGGAATCTGGACACACCTGGCAAACTGATGGGACCAGTCCTTTGTTGTATTGGCTGGAACGGTTGAAGGAGAGAAGGAGCCTGGCACAATGATCTCAATCTGGTTACAAAGCATGATTCCAGAGAAGAAGGTTGATTAGTAACAGCGCCTTGCTATCATTTATTGATCTCTTACTGTGCTCCAGGCATTGGACTACACACATGCATTTGTCATCCTTTGCCATGTAACAAACTATCCAAAAATTTACCAGCTTAAAACAAGGAACTGGAGGCCAAGGCAGGCAGATCATGAGGTCAGAAGTTCGAGACCAGCCTGGCCAACACAGTGGAACCCCATCTCTACTAAAAATACAAAAATTAGCTGGGTGTGGTGGCGGGTGCCTGTAATCCCAGCTACTTCGGAGGCTGAGGCAGGAGAATCACTTGAACCCGGGAGGCAGAGGTTGCAGTGAGCCAAGATCGTGCCACTGCACTCCAGCCTGGGCTACAAGAGTGAAACTCCATCTCAAAAAAAAAACAAAAAAAAAAACCCAAAACAAGGAACTATGATTATCCTGAGTTTCTGTGGGTCAGGGATTCAAGAGCAGTTTAGGCCAGGCATGGTGGCTCACACCTGTAATCCCAGCACTTTGGGATCAAGAGGCCAGGAGTTTGGCCAGGCATGGTAGCTCAGGCCTCTAATCCCAGCACTTTGGGAGGCCCAGGCAGGCGGATCACAAAGTCAGGGGTTCTAGACCAGCCTGGCCAATATGGTGAAACCCCGTCCCTACTAAAAATACAAAAATTAGCCGGGCATGGTGGTGCGTGCCTGTGGTCCCAGCTGCTCAGGAGGCTGAGGCAGAGGAGTCGCTTGAACCTGGGAGGTGGAGGTTGCTGTGAGCCGAGGTTGTGCCATTGCACTCCAGCCTGGGCAACGGAGCGAGACTCCATCTCAAAAAAATAAAAATAAAAATAAAGGCCAGGAGTTCAAGACTGGCCAGGGCAACAGAGCAAGACCCTATCTCTACAAAAAATTCAAAAAATAGCCCGATGTGGTAGTGTGTACTTGTAGTCCTCCGGAGGCTGAGACGGGAGATTCCTTGAGCCCAGGAGTTCAAAGGTACAGTGAGCCACGATTGTGCCACTGCACTCCAGCCTGGGTGACAGAGCAAGAGCCTGTCACAAAAAAAAAAAAAAGTAGTTCAGAAATCATACTGTCATTTTCACAACATCCAATTGGTACAGAAGCCAGCCCTATTCAGTATGGGAGGTGACCGTACCAGGGCATGAAGCCAGGAGGTGGGGCTCATTGGCCACACTCTCATCTTGGAGGCTGCCGCCCACCACGTGTTACTTCATGATCCTGTTCAATAATCACAACAGGCTAGTAATAATTTTCCCCCTACTCAAAAGAGGGAATTTTGCTCAAGACCAAACAACTAAGAAGTGGCAGGCCTTGGATTTGAACCCCACTGTCCTTGGCTATGTTGGAGCTCTATGGTATGCAGAGGCAATACAAGCAAGGACTGATAGAAGTGTCCCCCGAACCCCATTCAACGCTGGACTCCAGGCGGCAAGACATTGTGTTTCTCTCCTCCTGCCGGGTCCCTAGGGGGACTTGCATCTTCTCTCAGACTCTCACACAGGTCAAGGGGAGCTTAGGCCCTGGGAGGGCGCCCGTTAGCAGCGGGGAGAGGAAAGAGCTGCCTCTCTCCTGTCACTCCCCATTTTGCCCCAAGATGAGGGCTGCCATTCAGAATGGGTCAGGTTCCAGGACAGTGACTGGGTCAAATTTGCTGGAAGGCAGGGTCACTATCAGAAGACCTATCCCCTCACCACACACACACCATATGTGTGCACACATGCACACACAGGTACAAGCACACAAGTACCCATGCACACATCACCCACATGCACGCCCACCATAACATGCACACACATGCACACACATCCATACACATGCACACTCGCCTCCTAGTCGTCTGCTTCTGAGTGACCAGATGGCTCTTTTTTTTTTTTTTTCCACAAATACTTATTGAGCACCTGCTAGGTGACTGGTATTCTGCTGGATGCAAAGGACACAGGGCATGGAACAGAGAGACATGGTGTCTGCTCGTGTGGAGCCTGTGGTCATGCACCTGCTGGACAGCTGCCTTTCCGGGGGTCACTTCTGCTCCTCACATCTGCTGGGACTCATTGACTTCTTCCACATGGTGTTTGGGCACAGGCATGGGGAGGTCCCCCTAGACCTCGAGCCTAAGCCTCGAACTCTGGCCCACTTTACAAAAGCCCAAATTAAGGAATTGATCATCCACTTAGTAATAGTTTAGAACCTTTAGAGTATGTTACAACCTGCAGAAGTTACAGAAACCCAGCCTCTCTCAACTCTTTTAGTCACAGTGAGATGGAGCTTTCAGAAAATCAAGAGACCAAGATCAGGCCAGGCGCGGTAGCTCACACCTGTAGTCCCAGCACTTTGGGAATCCGAGGTGGAAGGATCACTTGAGCCCAGGAGTTTGAGACCAGCCTGGGCAATATAGTGAGACCCCATCTTTCAAAAAAAAATTAGCCTAATGTGGTGGCACATGCCTGTAATCCCAGCTATTCAGGAAGCTGAGGCAGGAAGATCGCTGGAGTCCAAGAGTTTGAGGCTGCAGTGAGCCATGATCAGACCACCGCACTCCAGGCTGGGTGACAGAGTGAGGCCCTGTCTCAAAAACAAAACAAAAGAGACCAAAATCAGTCAAATGCTTCTAACTGTTCTCTCCCTCCGTGCCTAGGGCTGTACTTTCAGACACCACTCATTGTCCTTCCTACCTTCCCAGGCAATTCAGGACTCGGAAGTGACATCACTCATCTGGTCTCAGGGGCAGCCCAGAAGTATCTGACTGTAGACACAACTAGGCTCCGTGGGCATATCTGGGTGGCAATTTCAGAGGGCAGAGGGGACACCTTCATTGCCTCTCCTCGCACAGAAATGGTGGGCTCTCTCTGGCCCAGCGTGGTGGTTCATGCCTGTAATACCAGCGTTTTGGGAGGCTGAGATGGGAGGATTGCTTGAGCCCAGGAGGTCGAGGCTGCAGTGAGCTATGATCACACCACCACACTCCAGCCTGAGCAGCAGAGCGGGACCTCGTCTCTAAGAATAGAAAGAAAGAAAGAGAAACGGTGTCCTCCGCACAGCCGGTCAGAACTGTGTGACTCACTTGAGGCAGGACCGAGAGTGACATCCAGTTGCACCTTTCTCACCTACTTTGGGACCTTTGGGGGTGAGTTCCCCTTTGTCCTCTCGTGGAAACAGCACACAGCAAGCAACCACAAAACCAGAGCGGAAGGAGGGACTTCCCACCGGCATCCGGCCCCAGTGCCATGTTTTATCATCTGGAACGGTTGTGAAGCTTTGTGTGACTTGCTCAGGATCAGCAGTCACCATGGTCTAATCCCAAGAGGGACTCGTCACCCAGAGACCTCAAAAGGCCCCAGGCCTACTGTGGTTTTTTCTGAGAGGCTCCCAGAACCAAGTGGCACGTTGGTTTCCTGTGCGTCTGTGTCTTTGTGCCTGTATCTCGCTGGGGGACTTCACAGGAAGCAGGATTTGGGCATTCCTGAAGCTCCCAGCTGGACACCACTCCTGAGCGCCACATCCCATGATCACTTCAACCACAGGCCTTTGACTTTGCCACATGGCAAGGCACCCAGCAGAAGATGAGGATGACGGGTGATGCTAGATGGATGTGTACCTGGTGGATGGCCCACGCACGAAGACTCAAGACCCTCAGGACTGGCCATATAATCTGCAAGGTCCAGTATGAAATAAGAATAAGCAGCCCACACAACTGGGCATAGTGGTTCATGCCTGTAATCCCAGCACTTTGGGAGGCTGAGGAGGGTGGATCACTTGAGGCCAGGAATTCGAGACCAGCCTGGCCAACATGGCGAAAACCCATCTCTACTAAAAATACAAAAATTAGTTGGGCATGGTGGCACACACCTGTAATCCCAGCTACTCGGAGGCTGAGGCACAAGAATTGCTTGAACCTGGGAGGCGGAGGTTGCAGTGAGCTGAGATAACGCCACTGCACTCCAGTGTAGGCAACAGAGTGAGACCCTGTCTCAAAAAAAAAAAAAAAAAAGGGCTGGGCACGGTGGCTCACGCCTGTAATCCCAATACTTTGGGAGGCTGAGGCAGGTGGATCACCTGAGGTCAGGAGTTTGAGACCAGCCTGGTCAACATGGTGAAATTCTGTCTCTAATAAAAATACAAAAATTAGCCAGGCATGGTGGCAGACACCTGTAATACCAGCTACTCAGGAGGCTGAGGCAGGAGAATCGCTTGAAACTGGGAAGTGGAGGTTGCAGTGAGTCAAGATCATGCCATTGCACTCCAGCCTGGGCAACAAGAATGAAACTCCATCTCAAAAAAAAAAAGAGAGAATGACAATGAGCAGTCCCCATTGGAAAACTATGAAGAATTTCAAGACAGCAACAGCAGAGCATTAAATGGAGCACAGGGACCCTCTGCCCACAAGGCCCTGGGCAGCAGCCCACAGGTCGCACGTCTGTGTTGCCGCCCCTATGGGTCCCTCCGAAACTATGCCCCAAGGAGTTAAAGACGTCAGGGACTAACAGAAATTCTTGAGTTTGCAGGATAGCAGGTAAGAAAAGAAACAACTTCCTAAAAAGCTGACACTCCCTCCGCTTGTGAGATTTTAGAAACTGGCTGAAATTGGCTGGAACCAAGATGGCCAATGGGAGTCTGTGCAGAGCAGGCTTTCAGACATCAAAGCCTAAATTTCCACCGCGTGTTTCACACTAATGTCTCCTGATTTGCACATGCGACCCATGAGGCATGAAGGATAACTGCGCCTGCCCAAGGACCTCCCTTTCCTTCCACCCCATAAACCTTTTCCAATAAAATTACTGCCTTAAAGCCAGTACAGGGAGGCAGCTTTGAGCTGGACTCCTATCCCCTTGTAAATCAACTTGCAATAAAAGCTTTTCTTTTCTCAAAAACCCAGCGTCGGCCAGGCGCGGTGGCTCATGTTTGTAATCCCAGCACTTTGGGAGGCCAAGGCAGGTGGATCATGAGGTCAGGAGTTTGAAACCAGCCTGGCCAACATGGAGAAACCCTATCTTTACTAAAAATCCAAAAATTAGCTGGGCATGGTAGCGGATGCCTGTAATCCCAGCTACTCGGGAGGCTGAGGCAGGAGAATTGCTTGAACCCAGGAGGTGGAGGTTGCAGTGAGCTGAGATGGCGCCACTGCACTCCAGCCTGGACAACAGAGCAAGACTCCATCTCAAAAAAAAAAAAAAAAACTCAGTGTCATAGCATTGGCTTTTAGCACATGGGGCAGTGAGCCCCTTTTGCTCAGTAATGCCTTCGCCCTGCCACAGCTGGGTAGCCATCCATTCAATTCTGGACAGTGAAACCCATTTGCAGGTCTGCCTGTGACTGGTTCGCATGTCCTATCTAGGCAACCAGTGTCCTGGCTGAGCCAGGTGAGGACTGTTGCTGGCTTGGCTCTCTGAGGGCTCCAGGAAGGCAGGGCTGGGTCTGAACATAATCTCTGGATTCCCCGACCTGGTCCAGTGCTGGGAACACATCAGGGGCCCCATGGCATGGGTTGAGGGTGTTAATTAGTCCGATACTGAGATCTCATAGAGGCCACAGGTGGGCCTGCTCTGGGGCCTTACACAGGGTATGGCAAGGAACACCAGTGGTGAGTGCTGGCCCTGCTGAGACCCAAGCACCCCCAACCTGGACTCCCTGAGCCTCAGGGAAGACTCAAGGGGAGCAGCAGGGTGGACAGGCTGAGCTGGGGAGAAGGGGTGGCTGGGGAGTGTGGAGGGGTCCAGGCCAGAAAGGGAGGCCCCTTGCAGAGGAAAGGTGATGAGGGGTGGAAGGAGAGAGTGTGGTCTGCAGAAACCTCAGAGGTCCTGGCATGGGAGATTTAGAAATGTACATGAGGCCAGGCGCGGTGGCTCACACCTATAATTCCAACACTTTGGGAGGCCAAGGCAGGCGGATCGCTTGAGCCCAGGAGTTTGAGACCAGCCTGGGTAACACAGCAAAACCTCGTCTCTACAAAAAATAAAAAAATCATGCAATGAACCATGATTGTACCACTGTACTCTAGCCTGGGCGACAGAATGAGACCCCATCTCACAGTAATAATAATAATAAATAATTAATTCCCTGGGCATTGTGGTTAATTCGCTGGGCACAGCTGTAGTCTTAGCTACCCAGGAGGCTGAGGCAAGAGGATTGCTCGAGTCCAGTTCCAGGCTGCAGTGAGCTATGATTGTGCCACTGTACATCAGCCTGGGTAACAGAGCAAGACCCTGTCTCTAAAACAAAGAAGAAATGTACATCCAATGTGAGGAGGAAAGCCTTTGGTCATCTGAGGAGAACCAGGGTTGAGCGGGAGTGTTTTGCTAAGCCCAGAAGGGAGGGCACGAGGCCAGCTGCAAAGCCCACCATTATCATTCATGACACTTGTTAAGGATGGTCAGGCTGACTTTATGCAGTGGGGAGCCACTGAGATTGATGGGGTTTTGCAGTTCGGGAGAGATATTGGGATTGATCGCCAAGGAGCAGGGTGGGGGGCACTGGATGGAAAGTGACTAAAACGAAACATCCGAGCGAAGAGGGGTTCCAGCTAAACCCACCTAACAGAATTCCTGCTGAAGACAGGCCAGGGTGCTCAGACAGCACCTAGGGGTGGTGGAGGAAGAGGAACCCAGTCAGACATGGAAGGTGGTCAGATACGGGGGGCTCTGGATAAACTGACTTAGCAGGATTCCTGCTAAAACTGGACAATACAGAGGTGACCACGGAAGTCAAAAGGTCAGGCCTGGTTGAAAAAGAGCCCAGGGGCCAGGCGCAGTGGCTCACGCCTGTAATCCCACCACTTTGGGAGGTTGAGGCAGGTGAATCACTTGAGGACAGGAGTTTCAGACCAGCCTGGCCAACATGGCGAAACCCCGTCTCTACTAAAAATACAAAAATATGCCATGCGTGGTGGTGCACGCCTGTAATCCCATCTACTGGGGAGGCTGAGGCAGGAGAATCACTTGAACCTGGGAGGCAGAGGTTGCAGTGAGCCGAGATTTCACCACTGCACTCCAGCCTGGGTGACAGTGTGAGATACCATCTTAAGGGTAATAAAAGAGTCCGGGGTGGCAGAGTAGAGTTTGGTCAAGGCAAGAATGAGAGAATCCTGGTCACCCGTGGCTGTCTTCCCGCCCCTCCTGAGTGGCTCTGCGGCCTTCTATGGTGCAGTGGCTGTGGGCAGAGTCCCTGATTCTGACCCCTCCACAGCGTCACCCCTGGGCCTCTGGAGCAGGGGTAGATGGGGCTCCTTTTCCCTTTGGGGTTCACCTTCCAGTTGAGGTCCTTGAGGGTTTTGGGGGGGACCTCTCCGTGGATGACCTCCCTCCCCACGTACCTGGAATTCTTATCAATTTGTTCACAACTGTTCCATGCGCCCTCCCCAAGTCTAACCTGGGCCAAGCCTGGAGGGATATTAGGGGCCCAGTAGGGACAAGCCTAGGACACCCGAGTGACTACAGAGGCCCTCAACCCACCCCAGAAATTCAGGGGATGCCCAGGAATGACCCCTGGGCAGGGGACGGGGAGAGGGAGCCGAGGCACAGAACGTGCTCAGGTTCACAGGCCAGAGATGCTGGCTGGTTTGAGGAGCCAAGCAGTGCTCGTCTGCCTGGAGCTTGGGGTGCAAGTGGGGATGTGGCAAGAGATGAGGCTGGAGGGCTCAGCAGCAGCAGGCACGCTGGACGTTTGCCACGAGGGCAATGGGGAGCCACGAGGAGGTGAGGCAGGAGGCAGCCCTGCCAGATTGCCATCGCATTTATTCCCAGAGGTTGTGGCTGGGAAGTGGACTGGGAGGGACAGGGCTGAAGGCTTGAGACCAGCAAGGGAGCTTTGCAGTCACGGAGATGGGAGGTGTCGGTGGCTTGGACCAGGAGTGGAGTTGGGTAGAGAAGGAGTAAGTTTGAGAGGTGTTTTGGAAGGAATGCTGGTGGAATTTCCTATGGTTTGGGTGGGGAGGTGGGTGGTCTGTGAAGGAGAACAAGGGCTTGGGCACCAGGGAAGGGTGGGGCAGACGCGGGTGGTGGTACAGGTTTAGGTGGAAGGTCACAGGTTTGGTTGTGAACATATTGAGTTCACGGACCTGCAACACAGAGGGACCCAAGCAGGATTCGCACTCAGCCCTGCTGCAGACCCAGCTCTTTGGGCTGCTGCCCACACGGCTATAGAACAGCAGAGGCACTCACCTGGCCATGCCCTGTGCTGCCCTCAAGCTGTGACCCGGCCTGGGTTCCCTGGGCATCAAGCAGGGATCTGACCTGGCCATGCTCTGTGCTGCCCTCAAGCTGCGACCTGGCCTGGGTTCCCTGGGCATCAAGCAGGGGAGGCTGTTCAAGAAAATCCCCCAGGCCCACTCACTTTGATAGCCCAGAGCAGCCATTGCTGGGACCTCTCTACACTCAGAGGATTACCAAAGACCCCAAGGAGCTTCTGTGTATGGGGCGCATGACTCCTGATTCTTACCGTATGTAAAAGGCTGAATAATGGCCCTCAAAGGAGATCCACATCCTAATCCCTGAATCTGTGAATCTGTCCCATTATATGGCAAAGGGATTTCCAGATGTGATTAAGAACTTTGAGATGGGGGGATTATCCTGGATTATCTGAATGGGCCCAGCATTAGCACAAGGGTCCTTATGAAAGGGACGCGGGAAGGTCAAGGGCAGAAGGTGGCAATGTGATGATGGATGCAGAAGAAGAGAAGGCCATGTGGCATGGGGCCACGAGCCAAGACATGGGGTTGCCTTGGTATCTGGAAAAAGCAAAGAATGGTTTGTCCCCTGGAGCCTCTAGAAACAGCCCTGCAGATGCCTTGCCTTGATTTTGCCCCACTGAGATCCATTTCAGACTTCTGGCTTTCAGAACGGTAAGAGAATACATCTTGCTTTTTGTTTTGTTTTGTTTTTGTTGTTGTTTATTTGTTTTTTTGGAGATAGAGTCTTCGCTCTGTTGCCCAGGCTGGAGTGCAGTGGCGCGATCTCGGCTCACTGCAAGCTCCGCCTCCCGGGTTCACGCTATTCTGCCTCAGCTTCCCGAGTAGCTGGGACTACAGGCGCCCGCCACCATGCCTGGCTAATTTTTTGTATTTTTTAGTAGAGACTGGGTTTCACCGTGTTAGCCAGGATGGTCTCAATCTCCTGACCTCATGATCTGCCCGCCTTGGCCTCCCGAAGTGCTGGGATTACAGGCGTGAGCCACCACGCCCAGCCATACATCTTGTTTTAAGCCATGAAATCTGTGGTAATTTGTTATAGCAGCAATGGGAAACTAACACGTCATCAGAAATTTAAATAGAGAACTTAAAATCTGGTTTGCTTTAAAAAAAACGGTGCATTTCTTAGCATAAACATTATATTTTTATTAAAAATATATATTTTTAAATATTACTAAAAAGAATAGCTTCTTTTCTGTGTATTTGTTGTTGGTGGTGGTTTTTTTGCAAATCTTTTCAGTGTCTGGCTGTAGAGAAGACAACTGTATTCTCATACCTGTTTCTGCATTCAGTCTGTTGTAATATGTTGTTGTTTTGGTTGCAGTATATGAAGAAACTTCCATCCCACAGATATGGGAGTGGAAAAAAGAGGAGCTATTTTATTTATTTTATTCTATTATTTTTGATAGAAACAGGGTTTCACCATGTTTCCCAGGCTGGTCTCGAACTCCTGTGCTCAAGTGATCCACCTGCCTTGGCCTCCCAAAGAGCTGGGATTACAGGCATGAGCTACCGCACCCAGCTATGGAGGAGGTTTTTAGATAAGCATGGATATTCTTCTTTGATATAAACCAAAATGCAAAAAGTGGTAGTTTTTCAAAGGTTAGTTGCAGTGTAAAATCTGAAACCAGGTCAATGGAGTTTTTGTACTTTGTGACAGTGAAATCCACTGACCTTACACTTTGAATGGATCTTTTACTGGTGTATGATTCTGGATTGGCTGACCCCAAACATTGAAGGAATAAATGGTAGCAATTTTTTTAAGACAGGGTCTCTCTGTATTGTCCAGATTGGACTCAAACTCCTGGGCTCATATGATCCCCACACCTTAGCCTCCCAAGTAGCCAAGAATACCAATTTTACACAAACTTCCAGAAAATTGAACTGGGAGAAACATTTCCTAATTTATTCATTCTATGAGGCCAGTATTTTATTGATACCAAAACCAGACCACAGTATTATAAAAAAACAGAAAAAGGTTTTAAGGTCAGGTGAGTTTAGGAAGCAACAAAATTGTATGTAAAATTTTTTAAAAAAGAACAGAAAACCTAAAATCCAATGTTACTCATGAACATAGAAAAATTCTCAACAAAATTTTGGCAAATTAAATTCAATAGTATATAATAAATTTTCTCAGTATTTGCACATCTGGAAATGTCTTTATTTCACCTTCAGTTTTATTTATTTATTTATTTTTTTGAGACGGAGTGTCACTCTGTCGCCCAGGCTGGAGTGCAGTGGTGCCATCTTGGCTCACTGCAAGCTCTGCCTCCCGTGTTCACGCCTCAGCCTCCGGAGTAGCTGGGACCACAGGCACCTGCCACTACACCCGGCTAATTTTTTGTATTTTTAGTAGAGACAGGGTTTCACCGCATTAGCCAGGATGGTCTCGATCTCCTGACCTTGTGATCCACACACCTTGGCCTCCCAAAGTGCTGGGATTACAGGCGTGAGCCACCTCGCCCAGCCTCACCTTCAGTTTTAAAAGACAGCTTTGCTGGATATACAATTCTTGGTTGATACTTATTTTTCCCGTCAGCACTTTGGCTTCTATCCTTCACTGTTTCTGATGACAAGTCAGCTGTTAGTCTGAGGTGCTGTTCTCTTTGATGAGTCTTTTTTCACTTAATGCTTTGCTTTTTATTTGTTTGTTTGTTTAGAGATGATGTCTTACTGTGTTGCCCAGGCTAAACTGAAACTCCTGGGCTCAAGTTATCCTCCCACCTCAGCCTCTTGAGTAGCTGGGATTATAGCCTCTTTGTTTTTGATCATTTAATCATTTCACTACAATATGTCTGGATATATTTGCATATTTGCAAATTCTGACCTGGAGTCCATTAAACTTCTTGGATATGTGTAGATTGTTTTCCTCAAAATTGGGAAGTTTTCAAGCATTATTTCTTCAAATATTTTTTCTGCTCCTTTCTCTTTCTTCTTCTGATACTCCAATTACATGTATGTTGTTGTGCTTAATGGTTTTCCACATTTCTCTAAGGCTGTGTTCATTTTTCTGCATTTTTTCCGTCTCTCTGCTCTTTCAATTGTGTAATCTCTGTTAATCTCTCCTTACAATTGCTGATTCATTCTTTTGTCCATTCATTCTACTGCTGGATCTCTCTAATGAAGTTTTCATTTTAGTTATTGTATTCCAACTCCAGAATTTTCATTTGGTGCTATTTTATAATTTCTATCTCTTTATTGATAGTCTCTATTTTGACAAGAAATTATTTTCCTTTATTTTCTTAAGCATTCTTTTCTTTAGTTCTCTGAAAATATTTATAACAGTTGCTTTGGAGTCTTGGCTAAGCCTGATATCTGGACCCTCTGAGGGGAAGTTTCTTTCTTTTTTTATTTATTTTTCTTTTTTACTGAATTTGCATACTCTGAAGATTAAAGGTAGTTTCTGTTGCCTGCTTTTCTTTTTCTTATGTCTGGTCACACTTTCCTGCTTTTTTTTTTTCATGTCTCATAAATGGTTGTTAACCACTGGACATTTTAGAGAATATACTGTAGCACTCTAAACACTGAACTCTCACATTCTGGGGCTCTTTTTTGTTTGCTTATTTGTTTAGTGACTTAGCTGGACTATTTTAGCGAAGTCTATTTCTCCTAAGTATGCAGCTTCTGATTTTACTCCTCAGAGAAAGCAGCCTTGGGCATGACCGGGGTCACCCTAGGTGACAGTGGTTTTAGCAGGGGTCTCTTTGTCTCTTTTTATGATTTCTCTGTCAAGCTGTCTGGCTTTGTTGGAATCGTACCCAGCTATTATCCTCCATTGATAACTAATTGCTCTATTGTTTTCAACAGTGCCCTGGGGTAGAAATTGCTCCACATGTGATTCAATTAAATTCAGGCCCTTTTGCAAAGGTACTCTTTGAGGCCAGTCTTTGAGGTTTGTTACAACTCCAGGAGCGTTCTTCTCAGTAGCTACTCTATAGTTTAGTTTGTTAATCTGACAAGCTACTAGCCTCCTCATAATTGCTTGCCACCAAAATTGCTTACCATCAAAATCTCCATTGCTTTTCCCCTTAAGCTGGAACTCCTCCACACTCAGTTCCAAAGGAAGTCAGTTCCCTTAAGATCCCTCTGTTCTTACAGCCTGCCACTTTCTGGGCAAAACCTCTGCACAACTGCTCTGGAGGTAGGGAGAATGGGCCCCCTTCTCAGAGAATAACACACGTGCTTTATGAACAGGCTGCTGGATGGGGCAGTAGCTTCTGATCTTCTTGGCTTGCTACTTATGTTATGGAACCTCTACCCTATGAATGAGCTGGGGCAAATGCAACCAGGCATTTTTTTGGCCTGCTGCACCTAAGGTAGAGCTTCCACCTTACAGAGTGGGGCTGGGTAGAGGAGGAGAACCCCAGAACTCTCAGCCACTCTTGCCTAGAATGGAGTATCTACAACACAGGACGTGGTGGATGAGAAATGCTGATGTCCTGCCCTTCCTAGGGAGATACTCTAGCTCCCCAGCTGAGACTGAGGAGAGGGAGACCTGTGTTCTTGGCTGCATCCACCTGGAGTAGAACATCCATCTCGCTGAGCTGGGGGGACGGGGAAGGGAGAGAATGGGCCATGGCTCAAATGCCACAGGCTCTCACTGTTCTACTGTTCTGAGATTAAATAGATTCTTTTTTCTTCTTCTTTTTTTTTTTTTTTTTTTTTTTTGAGACAGTCTTGCTCTGTTGCCCAGGCTGGAGTGCAGTGGGGTGATCTCGGCTCACTGCCACCTCTGCCTCCTGGGTTCAAGCGATTCTTCTGCCTCAGCCTCCCGAGTAGTTGGGACTACAAGCGCGTGCCACTATGCCCGGCTAATTTTTTTGTATTTTTAATAGAGACCGGGTTTCACCACATTCGCCAGGCTCGTCTCGAACTCCTGACCTCATGATCCGCCTGCCTCAGCCTCCCAAAGTGCTGGAATTACAGGCGTGAGCCACTGCGCCAGGCCGATTTTCTTTTTTTTCTTTCTTTCTTTTTTTTTTTTTTTTTTTGAGATGGAGTCTCACTCTGTTGCCCAGGCTGGAGTGCAATGGCACGATCTCTGCTCACTGCAAGCTCCACCTCCCGGGTTCACACCGTTCTCCTGCCTCAGCCTCCCGAGTAGCTGGGACTACAGGCACCCACTACCACGCCTGGCTAATTTTTTTGTATTTTTAGTAGAGACGGGGTTTCACCATGTTCGCCAGGATGGTCTCAATCTCCTGACCTCATGATCCGCCTGCCTGAGCCTCCCAAAGTGCTGGGATTACAGGTGTGAGCCACTGCGCCCGGCCCCAGCCGATTTTCTTGAATAAATGTTTCATTTGCTGTGTGACCTCAGGACAATTTCCAGAGACTTTAAATGGTTGTTTTTTCATATAATATTTACCAGTTATAGTTATTTCTCTGGGCAGAGGGTAGGTGGAGCTCCTCACACCACTATACCAGAAGTTGTCTCTGAATATGTAATAGTCATTTGCTACATAATGACATTTCCGTCAATGATGGACCACATATACAATAGTGATCCCATAAGATTATAATTCTGGGGCAGGTGCAGTGGCTTATGCCTGTAATCCCAGCACTTTGGGAGGCCAGGGCAGGTGGGTAGCTTGAGCCCAGGAGTTCAAGACCAGCCTGGGCAACATGGCAAAACCCCATCTCTACAAAAAAATTTTTTAAAATTAGCCAGGCATAGTGGCTTGTGCTTGTGGTCCCAGCTACATGGGAGGCTGAGATGAGAGGATGGCTTGAGCCCAGGAGGCGGAGGTTGCAGTGAGCTGAGATCGTGCCACTGCACTCCAGCCTGGGCAACAGAGTAAGATCCTGTCTCAAAAAAAAAAAAATTATAATACTGTATTTTTACTGTACCTTTTCTACGTTTTGATGCACAAATACCACTGTGATACAGTTACCTATGGTATTCAGTACAGTCACATGCTGTACAGATTTGTAGCCTAGGGGAAATAGGCTACACCACATAGCCTAGGTGTGTAGTAGGCTATCTCAGCTAGGTTCGCGTGAGTGCACTCTGTCATGTTCACACAATGATGAAATCAAATCAAATCACATTTCTCAGAACATATCCCCATCGTTAAGTGACTCATGACTATTTATTAATAAATAATACAGTAGTCCCCCTTTATCTGGAGTTTCACTTCTTACGGTTTTGGCTACCCATAGTATAGTAAAAGAAAACAGAGAGAGACCACATTCATATAACTTTTATTACAGTATATTGTTATAATTGTTCTATTTTATTATTAGTTATTGTTAATATCTTACTGTGCCTAATTTATAAATTAGGCTTTATCATAGGTATGTCTGTACAGGAAAAAACATAGTGTATATAGGGTTTGGTACTATCTGAGGTTTCAGGCATTCACTAGGGGTCTTGGAACACATCCCCCATGGATAAGGGAAGACAACTGTACATCACAACCAGTGGGATTTCTCCTAGGACTGCAAAGTGGCTTTAACACTGGAAAATCAATCAGTGTAATTCACTGTATTAACAGACTAAACAATTAAAATGATCAGATCATTTCATTAAAGGCAGAAAAAACATTTGGCAAAATCCAAGATTCGTTCCTGATTGTTAAAAAAAAAATTAAGCAAGCCAGGAATAGAAGGGAATCTTCTTACCTAATAAAAGGCATCTACCAAACAAAACCCTATAATGAACATTAGGGTTCATTAATGTTTTTCCCCTAAGATCATGAACAAGACAGGTCTGTCTACTCTCACCACTTCTATTCAACATTGTATTGGAGATTCTAGCCCATATAATCAGACAAGAAAAGGAAATAAAAAAAATTCAGATTTGATATAAAGAAGAAAAGTTGCCTTTATTTGCAAAAAAAAAAATGTTCATCTAAGTTAAAAATCTGATGGAATTTGCAAAAAAGCTGCTGGAACTAATAAATGAGTATAATAAGGTTGAAAGATACAAGATCAACATAAAAAATATATTACTAGCAAAAAACACCTGGACATTGAAATTTTAAAAAATACTATTTACGGTAGCATAAAAATATGAAATAGACTAAACAGAACAAAAAAGTATGTTAGGCCTATACAATTAAAGCTACAAAACAAGCTGGGCGTGGTGGCTCATGCCTGTAATCCCAGCACTTTGGGAGGCTGAGGCGGGCGGATCACGAGGTCAAGAGATCGAGACCATCCTGGCCAAGATGGTGAAACCCCGTCTCCACTAAAAATACAAAAATTAGCCGGGCATGGTGGCGCCTGCCTGTAATCCCAGCTACTCAGGAGGCTGAGGCAGGAGAACCGCGTGAACCTGGGAGGCTGAGGCAGGAGAACCGCGTGAACCCGGGAGGCAGAGGTTATAGTGAGCCAAAATCGTGCCACTGCACTCCAGCCTGGGTGACAGGGCAAGACTCCGTCTCAAAAAAAAAAAAAAAAAGCTACAAAATGTTTCTGAGAAAAAGCTCTAAAGGTCTAAATAAATGGAGAGGTATACCATGTTCATGGGTTGAGAGACTCGATACTGTCAATATGTCAATTCTTCCCAAATTAATCTACAAACTCAACATAATTTCAGTCAAAGTCTCAGCAGGCTTTTTTGGTAGAAATTTACAAGCTGATTACAAAATGTATTGGAAATGCAAAAGCTTAGAATAGTCAAAACAACTTTGAAAAAGAGGAACAAAATTAAAGGACTTAAATGACCTAACTTTAAAACTTATTACAAAGGCACAGCAATGAAGACAGTGTGGCATTGGTGTACAAATAGACAAGTAGTTTAATAAAGCAGAACAAAGAGTCTAGAAACAGACTCACAGATATATGGTCAATTTTCAACAAAGGTGCAAACTGGACATCATCAAAATTAACCTCTCTCTGCTCTTTGAAAGACGCTGTTGGCTGGGCACAGTGGCTCACGACTATAATGCCAGCACTTTGGGAGACTGAGATGGGTAGATTGCTTGTGCCCAGCAGCTCGAGACCAGCCTGGGCAACATGGCATAACCCCATCTCTACAAAAAATTAGCTGGGCATGGTGGCACACGCCTGTGGTCCTGGGAGGCTGAGGTGGGAGGATAGCCTGAACCCGGGAGGTTGAGGCTGCAGTGAGCCATGATCATGTCACTGTACTCCAGCCTGGTGATGAGCGAGACCCTGTCTCAAAAAGAAAAAGAAAGACACTGTTAAGAGAATAAAAAGACAAGTCACAGATTGAAAGAAGATATTCGTAAATCACATATCTGATTTAAAAAAGACTCATATCCAGAATATATAAAGAACTCTCAACGCTCAATAATACGAAAACAAAGAATTTTTAAGAGTGCCCATGGGGAACAAATAATTGAAACAGACACTTGATCAAAAAAACACGTACGGATGACAAATAAGCAGGTGAAAAGATGCTCCATAGCATCAATCATTAGGGAAATGCCAATTAAAATCACAGCGAGACTACTACGCATCTATTAGAATGGCTTAAATTTGAATAACTGGCAATACCAAGGGTTGGTGACGTTGTGGAGCAACTGGAGCTTTTAGGTACTGTTTTACAATCACTTTGAAAAACAGCTTGGGCTGTGCGCAGTGGTGCATGCCTGTAATCCCAGCACTTTGGGAAGCTGAGGCAGGTGGATCACACGAAGTCAGGAGTTCGAGACCAGCCTGACCAACATGGCCAAACCCCATCTCTACTAAAAATACAAAAATTAGCCAGGTGTGGTGTTGCATGCCTATAATTCCAGTTACTCAGGAGGCTGAGACAGGAGAATTGTTTGAACCCAGGAGGCAGAGGTTGCAGTGAGCCGAGATTGTAACATTGCACTTTAGCCTGGGCGACAGGGCGAGACTCCATCTCAAAAAAAAAAGAAGGAAAAGAAAAACAGCTTGGCAGTTTCTCTCATACTTCACATACAATTACCTTGAGACCCAGCAGGTCCACTCCTAGGTATCTAACCAAGATAAATGAACACATATGGCAATACAAAAATGTGTATGCAAATGTTCATAGCAGCATTATTTATAATAGCCCCAAACTGGTAACCAACTTAATGTCCATCAACAGGTGAGTGGACAAACAAGTTGTGAAACATACCTAGCAGGAAAAAGAAATGAACTAGTAATATGCACAATGACATGGGTGAAGCTTAAATTATTATGTTGCATAAAAGAAGCCAGACCAAAAAAGAGTACATACAGTATGATTTCATTTGTATAAAATTCTATAGGCCAGGTGAGGCGGCTCACGCCTGTAATCCCAGCACTTTGGGAGGTCAAGACAGGAGGATTGCTTGAGTCCAGGAGTTCGAGACCAGCCTGGGAAGCATAGGGAGACCCCATCTCTACAAAAAATAAAAAATAAAAATTAGCCAAGTGTGGCAGTGTGCATCTGTCTTCCCAGCTACTTTGGGAGGCTGGGGTGGGAGGATCGCTTGAGCCTGAGAGTTCAAGGCTGCAGTGAGCTATGATCATGCCACTACACTCCAGCCTGGGTAACAGAGTGAGACCCTGTCTCTTAAAAAGAAGAAAAATCCTAGAAAATGCAAAATAATCTATAGTGACAGAAAGCAGATCAGTGTTTGCCTGGGAATCAGGAGAGAGGTGGGTGACCAAGGGGAATGAGAAAACTTTTGGGGGTGGTGGATAGATTCACTGTCTTGATTGTGGAGATGATTTCCCAGGTGAAGACATGTCAAACTGGTGAAATTTTACACTCTGTAGTTTATTGTAACTACAGGCCAGGCACGGTGGCTCACACCTGTAATCCCAGCACTTTGGGAGGCAGGGGTGGGTGGACTGCTGAGCCCAGGAGTTCGAGACCAGCCTGGGCAACATGGGGAAACCCCATCTCTACTAAAAATACAAACAACAACAACAACAACAACAAACTAGCCAGGCACGGTGACACATGCCTGTGGTCCAAAGGATCACTTGAGCCTGGGAGGTCGAGACTGCAGTGAGCCATGATTGCACCATTGCACTTCAGCCTGGGTGGCAGAGTGAGACGGGGAGGGGAGGGGAGCCTTCTCTCCTGCCTTAAGAGGGGAGTCAGGATGCAAAGCCAGGTCATCTGACCCAGAGCCTATGTCCTTACCTGGCTGTCTCCTGCCTCCCAGTCTGCACCCAAGATGATCCCTTTGGGGCCCTAAATGGTGCTCAGATTCTCCTGGGAATATGTACAGGGCCTGGTGTATATGATCCTACATGAGGCTTTTTGTTTCTTTTGTTTTTGAGACAGGGTCTCACTCTGTTGCCCAGGCTGGGTGCAGTGGTGCAATTATAGCTCACTGCAGCCTCAAACTCCTGGGCTTAGGCAATCCTCCCACCTCACCCTCCTGAGTAGTTGTGACTATAAGCGCAT
This sequence comes from Homo sapiens, assembly GCF_000001405.40. Taxonomy (NCBI): domain Eukaryota; kingdom Metazoa; phylum Chordata; class Mammalia; order Primates; family Hominidae; genus Homo; species Homo sapiens. The sequence continues at coordinate 29,182,867 of NC_000022.11, forward strand.
ACTAACACGTCACACTAATTAAAAAAAAAAATTGCAGAGATAGAATCTCGCTATGTTGCCCAGGCCAGTCTCAAACTCCTGGTCTCAAGCAATCCTCCCACCTTGGTTTCCCAAAGTGCTGGGATTACAGGCACACACCACCACACCTGGCCCCATATGAAGTATTTGTAAGACTTCACCTTCATCTGACTATGGTAGTGATAGTGACAATGGTGATGATGATTTTTCTTTTCTTGTTCCATGAGCCTCAATCACCGTCAGCTCCCTGAGAACAGCTCCTAGGTCCTATAATGGCATATTCCTACCTCAGGGCCTTTGTAGAGGTTGTTTCTTCACCCAGGGACACCTGGATCATCATACTTCATCAATTAATTGCTCTCATCCTTCAGCTTTCATCTTACAAGATTTTCTTTTCTTATGCTTGTAATCTCAGGGTTTTGAAAGGCCGAGACAGGAAGTTTGCTTGAGGCTAGGAGTTTGAGACCAGCCTGGGGCAACACGGCAAGCTCTTGTCCCTATTAAAAAAAAAAAAAATTAGCTGGGCATGGTGGTACACTCCTGTAATCCCAGTTACACAGGAGGCTGAGGCAGGGGGATCACTTAAACCCAGGAGTTCCAAGCTGCAGTGAGCTGTGATCATGCCACTGCACTGCAGCCTGAACAACAGAGTGAGAACTTGTCTCAAAATAATAATACTAATAAAAAGGCCAGGCGCGGTGGCTCACACCTGTAATCCCAGCACTTTGGGAGGCCAAGGCAGGCCAATCATGAGGTCAAGAGATTGAGACCATCCTGGCTAACACGGTGAAACCCCGTCTCTACTAAAAATACAAAAAATTAGCCAGGCGTGTTGGCGGGCGCCTGTAGTCCCAGCTACTCCGGAGGCTGAGGCAGGAGAATGGCATGAACCTGGGAGGCGGAGCTTGCAGTGAGCCGAGATCAGGCCCCTGCTCTCCAGCCTGGGAGACAGAGCGAGACTCCATCTCAAAAAATAAATAAATAAAAACATTTTATAAGATCTGTGGCCCTATCTGCCAGGCCCTGTCATCTAAATTAGGGCCCTATTGTCCTCTCTCTTTTTTTTTTTTTTTTAAGACAGGGTCTTGTTCTGTCACCCAGGCTGGAGTGCAAGGGTGCAATCACGGCTCACTGCAGCCTCAACCTCCCTGGCTCAAGCAATCCTCCTGCCTCAGCCTTCTGAGCAGCTGAGACCACAGGCATGCACCACCATACCCAGGTAATATTTTAATTTTTGCAGAGACAGGATCTCACTATGTTGCCCAGGCTGGACTTGAATTTCTGGCCTCAAGTGATCTTCCCGCCTTAGCCTCCCAAAGTGCTGGGATTACAAGTGTGCGTCACTGTGCCCAGCCTGTTATGTCCTTTCAGACACCCTGCCTCATTCCTTTTTACGACGTGCAGTCAAGCAGTTATCTGACCGTGGGTTTGTGTGTCTGTCTTTGAGGCTGGTCTTGCTGGCTCCTGCATTTCCAACACAGAACCTGAGCTTTGGCTCAGAGTAGGCGCTCTGTAAACACATGTGGGACGAGTGAGGACGTTCCCTGGACGATGCCTGGGGTGCCCAGGCCACAGAGCTGCCATTGAATCTCCTGGGGGTTAAGGTCCACCACGTTCCACTCAGCAGGAAAAATTCAGAGCTGACATTAATTCAGACCCCACATACGTGATTCTTACTGAGTTAGACACCAAGACAATCTCGCCTTTTGTTGGGGCTGTGGGAGCCTTACGTACGCCTAGAGAGAAGCCAGTCTAAAATCAGTCGCTTTTTGAAACCATCAGCTCGAGAAATTAAGGATTCTGTCAGCGTGCCCTGAATTTCTGGGCCCAGCAATTAATTCCTTCTAGATTAAAGGATTGTTGTGTTTCTGATACATTATTATGCGGAGTGGGCTTGCTGTGAATTTTAAAACTTTAACCAGAATCCTCATTAACTGGGACCTTTTATCTGTGTGCAACTTCTAGAAGAGGCCAGTGGCTAGAAAGTGAGCTGATGCATCCAAAAAACACATTCCGGGTGTCCTGTTGCATATTCAGTCCAGGCAGCTGTTCTCCTTTCTGATGGAAACAGGGCCATTTACTTACAATGTGCCTGGTGCCGGCTGTATGTTGTACATTGCGCCATTGAATCATCACCTGCTCGATCAGGCAGCCACCGTCATTATTAGCTCCAGCGTACAGGTGAAGAGACTGGGGTTGAGAGAGATGGGGTCCCTGCTCAAGCCAATGGGTGGCACAAGTCTGTCCGACCTCCAGGCCCCATGCTTGGCTCTCAGCTTCTGTTGCTTTCCCTTCTCCGTGGATGGTGAAGACCACTGTGCGGAAGGATGATCACAAGGCCCTTTGGGCCACCATCCAGCCAAGAGCTATTTCATCTGTGCTGGGCTTGAGGCTCTGCTGAGCCCGAGGGAGTAGGGAGGCCCAAGGGAGCAGACCCAGTCGTGTGTGAGGCTGACTCAGGGGCTAAGAGCTCCATCCTCTGGGAACACCCACGGGGTTCAGGGCCCAGGGAGGCCAGCCCCTGCTGTCTATCATGAGCAGGCTCTGTCCCCTCCCTAGCATCAGTCCTCCTCCTGCCATATGTCTGGGAACCTCAGCTTCTCTCAGGCAGAGTCCAGCCTAGCTGGAGTCTCACTTTGTTGCCCAGGCTAGAGTGCAGTGGTGCCATCTCGGCTCACTGCAACCTTCGTCTCCCAGGTTCAAGCAATTCTTCTGCCTCAGCCTCCCGAGTAGCTGGGACTACAGGTATGTGCCACCACGCCTGGCTAATTTTTGTATTTTTAGTTTTGCCATGTTGGCCAGGCTGGTCTTGAACTCCTGACCTCAAGTGATCCACCTGCCTCGGCCTCCCAAAGTGTTGGGATTACAGGCGTGAGCTATCGCACCTGGCCAGCCTGGCTGTCCTGATGGCAGAACCGGAGCCCAGATGCAGCCCTTTGAGGGAGAGACTTCCAGGCCCTATGTCAGATGCTTACTGAACATCTCCAAATGAGCCTGGGTCTCCCGGCATAGCAGCAACTTCCCACTTTGGTTTACACAGGTTTATATACACACAGTGTTTATGCACACAGCTACTTCCTCACCCCTGCGTGCCTGGAACCAGCGCTCCCCAGCCCAGTGTGCACCCCAGGCCAAGAGCCAGGCCATCACTCCCACAGTGGGCTTCCCCTAGGGCCCTGGGATCTTCTAGAAACCTTAGAAACTCAAAAGGAGTCAGGATTCCAGGAGTTCTGGCATCCCTAAGTAAAGTGCCCCTTTCGAGCTCCCCAGAGAAAGGAGCCAGGCAGCCCCGGAGAACAGTCCACTACTCACTGTTGGGGAGCGTGCGGAGAAATTCGAACGCTTGCGTGCTGCTGGTGGGAATGCAAAGTGGCACAGCTGCTGCGGAAAACAGATGGTGATGCCTCAAAAAATTAAACAGAATTATCCATGTGACCCAGCAATTCCACTTCCAGGTATGTACCCAAAAGAATTAAAAGGAGGGTCTCAAAGAGATCCCATGTTCATAGCAGTATTATTCATAATTGCTAAAATGTGGAGAAACTCACATATCCATCAATGGAAGAATGGATAAGCAAAATGAGGTCTGTCAATTCAATGGAATATTATTCAGCCCTGAAAAGGAAGGCAATTCTGACACAAGCTACAATGAGAATGAAGCTTGAGGACATTGTGCTGAGTAAATGAAGCCAGTCACAAAACAATAAATACTGTATGATTTCACTTATATGGCGTACCTAGAGTAGTCAAAATCATAGAGACAGAAAGTAGAATGGTGATGGCTGGGAAAAAGGGGTAATGGGGATTATTGTTTAATGAATACAGAGTTTCAGTTTTACAAGATGAAAAGGGTTCAGGAGATGGATGTTGGTGATGGTTACACAACACTACAAAGTTTAGTTAATTCCACTGAACTGTACCCTTAACAATGGCCAATTTTGCCGGGTGCGGTGGTGCAATTATGCCTGTAATCCCAGCACTTTAGGAGGCTGAGGAGTGGGGTGGGGGAATGGCTTGAGCCCAGAAGTTCGAGACCATCCTGGCCAACAAAGCGAAACCCCGTCTCTACAAAAAGATACGCTGTTTATGGTGGTGCATGCCCATAGTCCCAGCTACGTGGGAGGCTGAGGTGGGAGGATCGCTTGAACCCAGGAGATCGAGGTGGCAGTGAGATATGATCACACCCCTGCACTCCAGCAGGGGTGACAGAGTGAGACCCCGTCTCCCAAAAAAAAAAAAAGGTAAATTTTGTTATATTTTGTAATGAATAGAATGGTAAAATTCCACTTAAATGGGGTACTTAGAGTCGTCAACATTGTAGAGACAAGTAGAATGAGGGATGGGGGAATGAGGAGTCAGTGTTGAACCAATACAGTTTCATTTGCGGAAGATGAAGAAGTTCTGGACGGGGGTGATAGTTGCACAACAATGTGAATGTACTGAACTGTATGCTTTAAAATGCTTTAAATTGGTTAAAATAAGCAAAATGGTCAGTTTTCCAGCCTGGACAACATGGAAACTCCATCTCAACAAAAAAATAGAAAAATTAGCCAAGCATGGTAGCACATGCCTGTAGCCCCAGCTACCCTGGAGGCCGGGGAGGTTAAGGCTGCACTGAGCTATGATCACCACACTGCACTCCACTCTGGGTGACACAGTGAGACCCTGTCTCAAAAAAAAAAAAAAAAAGTCAATTTTACATTATTTATGTTACCAGAATTTGTAAAAAAAAAAAGAAAAAGAAAAGAAAAGAAATCTGAAGTTCCCTTTCATTAAGCAGCCTGCTATTCTCATGATCCTAGTAAATCCTGGTGGCGACATTTCAAGGTGCATTCTGGGATTGTCCTCAGTTTTCAGGTGAGAAGGCCAAGAGAGAGAGGTGACATGAGCAGCCTGAGGTCACCCAGCGAGTGGCAGGGCCAGGATTCCACCCAGGACCGCTGACTGCACCCAGCCACAGAGGGAGTGGCCCCCTTCCCTGACGGCTCCCCCAAAATCCCACTCAGATTCTCCTGGCAGGGGCCAGCAAACAGGATCCAGATGGCGGTTCACCCAGTTAGGACAGGGCCTAACTTGAAACCGCTCTGCCAGGATTTCCAAATGCATCCCAGATTTCTGTCCTGGAAGCATCTGGTGCCCTCCTGCTGGGGCAGTGGGGGGCCGAGGAGCAGCCAGGCCTGGCCATGGGCCTGGGCAGTGACTGGGGGCTGGCGGGGCTTGGCACTGGCCTCGAGTCCATCTCCTTGGAGCCTTTGGGGGATCCTGCCGGCCCTAGAAGGCCCATTTTGCTCTGACAGTGGATTTGTCTTATTCCCACCTCTGCAACAAAGCCCCACAACCTGCCTGGCTTAAACAACAGACACTTATTGTCTCACTATTTTGGTGCTGGAAATCTGAAATCAAAGTGTGGGCAGGGCTGGTTCCTTCTGAGGCTGAGAGGGAGAATCTGTTCCAGGCCCCTCTCCTGGCTTCGGGTAGCCTCCGGCGCTCTTTGGCTTGTTGGTGGCCATCTTCTCTCTGTGTCTTAACATCATCTGCCTCTGTGAGCGTCTGTCTCTGTGTCCCATTTCCCCTTTATATAAAGACACAGCCACATTGGATTAGGGCCCACCCTCGAGATCTCATCTCAACATATCATCTGCAAACTCCCCATTTCCAAAGAAGGTCCCATTCACGGATCCTAGGGGTTAGGACTTCAACATCTTTTGGGGTGGTGGGGGGGACATAATTCAAACCATAACACCATCCCACAATGCTGTTACTCTTCTCAGCTGCCCAGGAGGCCAGTGGGGAACATTCTGGGGATTGGAGATGTTTGCAAACTGAAATGGCATTTCACATAGTCTCTACGGTTTTATGAATTGTTACCTGTTGCCACCACATACTGAGTGCTTGCTTGCTGTGTGCCGGGCACTCAACATAACTCCCCAGTCCTCAGCTGCAGGGTGGCTGCTATCATCCCATTATACAGGTGAGCCATTGAGGCTCACCTGGGAGGAGTCACTCGCTCAGAGACTCAAGGCTGATTATTCCCATCTGTGGGATTCATCCCACCACCTGTCTGAGCAGAGGCCCTGAGGTTTCTGTAACTCCTCCTATTCCTGAACACATTCCCCATTCCCATCCTGTGTTCCTTCCTTTGACCCCAAACAACTTGAAGTTGGAGGAATTAAGTGCAAATGATTGCAGTTGGGAGTAAAAGACAGCGTCTGGGAATTCAGGCAGAAAAGGTGTGTGAGGGGGAGGCCTCCCTCCCTCCTTTTCTCCCTCCCTCCTTTCTTTTTTCTTGTCTTTTTTTCACATTCAAACAGAACTTCAGATTTTAGAGGTGAGAAAGGGCCAGGTGACGTGGCTCATGCCTGTAATCCCAACACTCTGAGAGTCCAAGGTGGGAGGATCCCTTGAGGCCAGGAGTTCGAGACCAGCCTGGGCAACATACCAAGACTTCATCTCTACAAAAACGAGATTTAAAAAAATTAGTCAGGCATGGTGGCACATGCCTGTGGTCCTAGCTACCCAGGAGGCTGAGGCAGGAGGATTGCTTGAGCCCAGCAGACAGGACTGTGGTGAGCTATGGTTATGCTGCTGCACTCCAGCCTAGGTGACAGAGCAAGACTTTGTCTCTAGAAAAAAAAAAAAAAATTATTTTTAAAGGTGAGAAAAAAGTGTTCCCCAAGACTATGAGGAAGGAAGATGGGAAGAGGTGGAAAGTGAAGAGTAAGATTCAGGCTCATCTGACCCTTATGCCCTCCTCCCACCCTCAGAAACGCTGCCATTCTAGTCGGGCATGTTCGCGTGTGCCTGTAGTCCCAGCTACTCAGGAGGCTGAGGCAGGAGAATTGCTTGAACCCAGGAGGCAGAGGTTGCAGAGTCGAGATCGTGCCACTGCACTCCAGCCTGGGCAACAGAGCAAGACTCCGTCTCAAAAAAAAAAAAAAAAAAAAAAGAACACTGCCATTCTACAGGGAGCAAGATAGACACGAGCTATGTAGCCCTGCCCAGGCTGAGCTCCCAGTCCAGAGAGTGCATCCAGGTGAACCCCACCACTATAACCTGCTGCTATAGCCCCCAAGGGGCCCCTAACATCTCAGTTTGTGAAGAGAGGTTTGGGGTTGGGGTAGGGCACCTAAACTGAGACTTGCGGGTAAGCAAAAGGCACCCAGGTGAAGCCTGGAGGAGGAGTGCCGGGTGGAAGGAACAGGGAGATCAACATGGAGGAACTCTGGAGGCAAGAGAAAGCTTGGAGCCCTTTAGGAACCGGGGAAAAGGTCAGTGTGGTGGGAACAGGGTGCCTGAGATGCCAGCAGGGCCGGGCAATGGAGCTTTGCAGGTCAAGCGTGAGCTGCTTCCAGATGCCCTGGGAGCCACTGTGAGACTCCAAGTAGCAGGGTACGTGGGTCTGGCCTCCTCTGGCTGCAAGGGCTGGAGACCGAGGACGCCTAGAGACCAGGGCAGGGTGACCCAGCTTGAACAATGGAGGTTGGGGTAGGGAGGTGCAGTGGGTTGAATGGTGGCCCCCACCAAAACATAGGTCCATGTCCAGGAACCTGCGAAGGTGCCCTTATTTGGAAAAGGGTCTGTGTAGCTGTAATTGAGAGTTTTTAGTGCCCAGGTGCAGTGGCTCACACCTGATATCCCAGCATTTTGGGAGACCGAGGCAGAAAGATCACATGAGGCCGGGAGTTTAAGACCAGCCTGGGCAACAAAGAGAGGCCCCATCTCTACAAAAAATTGAGAAACTAGCTGGATGTGGTGGCAGGTGCCTGTAGTCCCAGCTACTCAGGAGGCTGAGGCAGGAGGATCACTTCAACCCGGAGTTCCAGGCTGCAGTGAGCTATGATTGCACCACTGCACTCCAGCCTGGGCAACAGAGTGAGACTCCATTTCAAAAAAAAATTAGCTGGGCGTGGTGGCGGGCACGTGTAATCCCAGCACTCGGGAGGCTGAGGCAGGAGAATCACTAGAACCCAGGAGGTGGAGGTTACAGTGAGCCAAGATCATGCCATTGCACTCCAGTCTGGGCAACAAGAGCAAAATGCCGTCTAAAAAAAAAAAAACCATATACCCATTTGCAGTGATTCCCCATTCTCCTGCAGCCCCCACCCCACCACCAGCTCCTGGCAACCACTTTCTGTCTCTGTAGATTTTCCTATTCTGGGTATTTCACGTAAATGGAATCATACACCATGTGGCCTTTTGCGGCTGGCTTCTTTCACGGAGCATAATGCTGTCAAGCATGTTGCAGCATGTGTCAGCGCTTCATTCCTTCCAAACAATATTCCATTGCGTGGATGGACCACATGTTGTCTGTTCAATTCATCTGTCGACGCGCATTTGGGTCGTTGCTGCTTTTTAGTTCTTACAGATAATGCTGCTGTGAACACTCAGGTGCAAGTTTTTGTGTGACCCTATTTCCATTTCTCTTGGTTAGATACCTAAGAGTGGTGAATGTGGTTTTATTAAATTCTTTTATTAAAAACTTTTTTTTCTTTAACAGGGCCTCACTCTGTCGCCCAGTCTGGAGTGCAGTGGTGTGATCTTGGCTTACTGCAACCTCTGCCTCCTGAGTTCGAGTGATTGTCCTGCCTCAGCCTCCCAAGTAGCTGGGATTACAGGCACGGGCCACCATGCCTGGCTAATTGTTGTATTTTAGTAGAGACGGGATTTCACCATGTTGGCCAGGCTGGTCTCAAACTCCTGACCTCAGGTGACCCGCCTGCTTCGGCCTCGCAAAATGCTGGGATTACAGGTGTGAGCCACCACGCCCAGCCAGTGAATGTGTTTTTTAAATTAAAAATAACATATGTTCTTTTTTTACGTATAATTTCTTTTTATGTTTAAGTATCTTTCAGTTTGTTAAAGGGCCATGCTAATCTGCTCTGTGTTGTTCCAATTTTTAGTATATGTGCCGCCAAAGCCAGCACGTGTGTACTTAATTACAAAAGTGATTCGTTAGAGATCACCAAAGTAACAAATTGGAAACCAGAAAATGTTTCTCACCTTTAGAATCTGTTCTGTTTGAATGTGTATGTGTGGCTTTATTGACACATAATTCAAATACTGTACAAGGCCAGGCATAGTGGCTCATGCCTGTAATCCCAGCACTTTTGGTAGCTAAGGTGGGAGGATCGCTTGAGCCCAGGAGTTCAAGACCAGTCTGGGCAGCATAGGCAGACCTCGTCTCTACAAAACAAAAATTTTTTTTTGTTAGCCAGGTGTGGTGGTGCACACCTGTTGTCCTAGTTGAGGATGAGGCAGGAGGATCGCTTGAGCTTCGGAAGTCAAGGCTGCAGTGAGCCAAGATTGTGCCACTGCACTCCAGCCTGGGTAAAAAAGCAAGACCCTGTCTCAAAAAAATAAAAATATTAAAAATGTTTAAAAAGAAGATATTGAGGCCGGGCATGGTGGCTTAAGCCTGTAATCCCAGCACTTTGGGAGGCTGAGGTGGGCAGATCACCTGAGGTCAGGAGTTCGAGACCAGCCTGGCCAACATGGCGAAACCCCATCTCTACTAAAAAAATACAAAAATTAGCCAGGCATGGTGGTGCGCACCTGTAATCCCAGCTACTCGGGAGGCTGAAGTGGGAGAATTGCTTGAACCCAGGAGGCGGAGGTTGCAGTGAGCCAAGATCACGCCACTGCACGCCAGCCTGGGTGACAGAGCGAGACTCCGTCTCAAAAAAAAAAAAAGATATTGAAAGATATTGACACACCCATAATGTCCCCAAAGATATCTGGTGTGTCCCGCCCTGCAGATGTGCGTTTGCTAATGCTTACGTTCACGGCATGTGACACAGCAATCGTGTGGAAGGAAACTATGACAACTCCTGCCCTGTGCAGAAGGCAGCCTGTGTCAGGCCCCTCTGATCCCACATGTGCCCATCAGTAATGACCCATTCAGTGCAGATTAGACATAAAACCAGCTTTGACTTCAAAGGACCAAGCAGCTAAGAGTAAGAGAAAGAAGGAGGATTTTCAGCTCCCTGGGGATGGGGAAAGATATTCAAAGGGCTGGAACCTCTCTTTCTTTGGCAAAAAAGAAGGCCAAAAAAAAACCTTCCAAAGGAAAAAAAAAAAAAAACCTCTGGGGAATCGTTTTATTAAGATGGATGGATTATGGGTGATTTATTTTCTTTTTAAAAAAAGTGCTTTAATGATATTATATTGCTATTATAATATTTTACTACTAAAAAAGATTCTACGAAGCCTCTTAGGATTATGGATGAAAAAGAATGATTTTATAAAACTCAGCAATTCTTAAGAAGAGTACAGCCAAAAAAGCTTTCTCACTCCTTTATAGTTTCTTCCAATAACTGGCTCACCAAGTCAGAGGCTGAGCAGGCAGACAGCCGCAGACCTAAGGGAAGCTATGACCATCTCATCTGCAAGAATGAGAGTGGCCAGGTGCGGTGGCTCACGCTTGTAATCCCAGCACTTTGGGAGGCCAAGGCAGGCGGATCACGAGGTCAGGAGATCAAGACAACCCTGGCCAACACGGTGAAACCCGGTCTCTGCTAAAAATACAAAAAAAAAAGTTAGCTGGGCATGGTGGTGGGTGCCTGTAGTCCCAGCTACTTGGGAGGCTGAGGCAGGAGAATGGTGTGAACCCGGGAGGCAGAGCTTGCAGTGAGCCGGGATCGCACCACTGCACTCCAGCCTGGGCGACAAAGCGAGACTCCGTCTCAAAAAAAAAAAAAAAAAAAGAATGAGAGTGACTTAGAGCACATAGGAAAAAGCAGGTAAGAAAAGGCATAAAAGGTTTCTCTCTTTAAAATCATTGTTAAAAAAAATCAGGAATTCTTGATCATTCATGATTAGTAAGAAAGGCTGCACCTAAATATATTTTTTTTTATTTTATATTATAAAGACAAGGTCCTGCTCTGTCATCCAGGCTGGAGTGCAGTGGTATGATCATGGCTCACTGTCACCTCGAACTACTGGACTCAAGTGATCCTCCTGCCTCAGTAGCTGGGACTACAGGCCACCATGCCTGGCTCAATTTTAAATGTTTTTTAGGGCTGGGGTCTTGCTACATTGCCCAGGCTGGTCTCAAACTCCTGAGCTCAAGTGATCCTCCCATCTCAGCCTCCCAAAGTGCTGGGATTACAGGTGTGAGCCACCACCCCCCTGGCCAGTGTTTGCCTTTTAAAATATCTCTCTGTGTAAGTATCCAATCTCAAATTATATTTTCTCTATTGCAAAAATGATTCGTACAAGCATCCCTCCTTACACAGTGATTGATAGTTCTATTATGTAGGCTCAAGTGTTTTAAAAAGAGTTCCACTTATTCTAAAAAGTACTATGAAATAGAAAAACATACTTATCTACTCAGAAGCACAGTCTAGAGGTAGCAGAATGCCTGGCACAGAATCTACTTTCCACTCCTTCACCCAGTACAGACATGGTGAACTGATTACAGCACTCTTCTCCACTAATCTAAAGACTCTCTAGCCTCTCTATCCCTTTTTGTTCTTCTAAAAGGCAACTTGTAGGAGTGGATCAGAGCTGGCATCCAGAAGGGTGTGTGTTGGGTGGGGCGGGGGGGGGTGGGGGCGGAAATCTCATCTCTGTGCAGGCACAAAACTAAGATGCCTCCCAGTGGTGGAGCTTTCTAATTGCAGGCATAGTACTTAGAGGACCAAAGCAAGACAAAAGGGCAGTAAATGAATGAATAATTCAGTCTAGTCTTCTGTAAATACATCCCTCCTAGAGAAGAGTTTTGAATTTTAACATGAGTTTTCTTTGCTTTAGGGATTTTAAGACTGGCTTATAGAAGCATTTCAGGTGACAGTTGGTAGCAAAGGGCCTTTAGAAAACCTCAGATTCTGGTTGGGCATGGTGGCTCACGCCTGTTATCCCAGAACTTTGGGAGGCCGAGGTGGATGGATCACTTGAGGTCAGGAGTTTGTGACCAGCCTGGCAAACTTGGCAAAACCCCGCCTCTACAAAAATACAAAAATTAGCTAGGCATAATGGTGGGTGCCTGTAATCCCAGATACTCAGGAGGCTGAGGCAGGAGAATCACTTGAACCCAAGAGGCAGAGGTTGCAGTGAGCCGAGATTGCACCACTGCACTCCAGCCTGGGTGACAGAGTGAGACTCCGTCTCAAAAAAAAAAAAAAAGAAAAAAAGAAAAGAAAACCTCAGATTATTTTCCCAATGTCCTCTTTGCCAAAGGCTGACCCTTCTTGCTGCTTCTTGCTGTCCCAAGCCTTGCATCCCCAGCCTGCTCAGATTCCTCACTCTGCAGTCTACATGCAACATGCTTTGGATATAACCTATGTACTATTTCTTGATCAGTCTGTGCCAGGCACTGGGCAAAGAAATCCACGTGCCTCATTTAGATGCTCCTCGTAACAACTTGCCCTGAGACAAGTACCCTATCCCCATTTTCCAGGTGAACACACTGAGGCTCAGAAAGGGGAAGCAATTTGGCCAAGGTTACTCAGTGTCTCACTCAGGAACAGGCAGGATTGAAACATTTTCCTGGCCAACCTGGGCCTACAGGCCCCACAACGTTAGCCCCATGTTGGGCCCCTCTTTGACACCAGGCCACCCTTCTCTTGCCAGAGGAGTCCCAGGTCAGCTGTGCCCCTGGGAATGTCCCACCAGGGCTGGGCATAGTCAGCCCAGATGGGCCAAGGGCTGCCTGTCAGGAGGGAAAGGGGACGGTGTAGGGTCCCAGGGCCAATTCTGGACCTGCACTATGCTGGTGACTGCCCTAGGGTTCTGCAGCCAGAGTTTGAATATGGATGCTGCTAGCTGTGCAACAGTTTGCCACCCTCCCTGGCCTCCCTTTCCTGTGCCAGATCCCTCCTCTGGGGGCAGCTGTGATAATGCGTGCAGTCACATAGATAAAGGCTCGAGGCTGACAAGTGGAAAGCAGGTCAGTGGTCGCCCCTTTATCTCTGTTTCTAACACTGTCTCCTTCTGTGTGTGTGTGTGTGTGTGTGTGTGTCTCCCTATACTACTGTCTGTCTTTCTGTCTTTCCCTCCCCCTCTCTTCCTTTTCCTCCCTCCGAGGGGTCAAGGGAGGACACAGGACACAGCCAACTTTGGCTTTGTGAGGCCCCAACTTGCAGACGTAGGGCAGGCCGGGGGTGGGGGGAAACCTGGCTGCCCACCAGCCCACCTCCTGAGACAGGCCCTTCCCTCTGGTCAGGCCCCTATCTCCCCTACTCACCGCCCTGAATAGCCTCCACTCAGGTGTGTCCCGAGCAACTGGGAGCCCTGGGCCATGCCTGCTGAGGACAAGGACACTGGGTCCCTCCTGGGAGAGCACGGAGGGGTCATCTCCCTTAGGAGCCACCCTCACAGCTTCCCGGGGCTGGGGCTGGGGCCCGATTCAGAGGAGCTCCTGAATCAGCCCTGTCACTTGTGGTTCCTCTGCCCCATCTTTCTTCCTGGAGGTGGAAACCTACATGGAAACCTCCACACAGCACTCAGGAACACTCCCCGGCTGCAGACAGCAGCTCCTGGAGCCTGGAATGGCAAGGGCTGCTGTTTTACAACAAACCACACACACACACCACAGACACACACACACACACACAGATACACAGACACACACACACAGACACACACACAGACATATACACAGACACACAAACACATATACAGACAGACACACATGCAGGTACACACACACAGACACATAGACACACACTTCATTTTTAGGGCAAAGGGTGCCTATGCCATGCATACTTTTTGGCGCTAAATTTTTTTCAAACAGCGCAAAGGGATTCATAATGAAAACTAATACCTTAGGCCCAGGTGGGCAGATCACTTGAGGTCAGGATTTGGAGACCAGCCTGGTCAACATGGTGAAACCCTGTCTCTACTAAAAATACAAAAATTAGCCCGGCACAGTGGCGTGCCCCTGTAGTCCCAGCTACTCAGGAGGCTGAGGCAGGAGAATTGCTTGAACTTGGGAGACAGAGGTTGCAGTGAGCCGAGATTGTGCCACTGCAGTCCAGCCTGGGTGACAGAGCAAGACTTCAACTCAAGAAGAAAAAAAAAAAACAAACCTAACACCCTCGGTCCCTCAGTTCACCTTTCTGAAGGCAGTCAGTTTCTTGTGAATCCTTCCAGAGAAAGTGAATGCATAATTCAAATATTAATATTGATGAGTATATATTCCTGCAATTTTCCCCTAAATGGCAGCATCCTTTACTTACAGCTATACTAACTTTCTTCATTTAACAGGTGATCTTGGAAACTAGTTCCATATCAAAACACTTAGCTCTGCCTCATCTTTATGTACATATAATTCACATGTCAAAACATTTACCCTTTAATGTGTACAATTCAGTGGTTTTTAGTATAGTCAGAGCTGTGCAACTGTCACCACTACCTGATTGCAGGACACTTTCATCACCCTAAAAAGAAATCCCACACCCATGAGTGGACACCCCCGCATCCCTTGCCCTCAGTCCCTGGCAACCGCTAATCTGTCTTCTGTGTCTATGGATTTGCCTAGTGTGGGTTTCTCTTATAAATACAATATATGGCCTTTCATGTCTGGCTTCTTTCACTTCACGTAATGTTTCCAAGTTTCCTCCATGTTGTAGCTTTGTATCAGTGCTTTGTTCCTTTATTTATGGTGAATATTCTATTGTACACATATACTACATTTTGTTTAGCCCCTCTTTCTTTTTAACAGCAATGTAGTATTCCACTGATGGATGTATTTAATTTTTTTTTTTTTTATTAGACAGTAGTCTCACTCTGTCACTCAGGCTGGAGTGCAGTGTTGCAATCATAGCTCACTGCAGCCCCGACCGCCTGGGCTCAAGCAATCCTCCCACCTCAGCCCCCCGAGTAGCTGGGACTACAGGCACGTGCCACCATGCCCAGCTAATTTTTGTATTTTTTGTAGAGATGGGATCTCGCTATGTTGCCCAGGCTGATGTACCTTAATTCACCCATCTCCTGCAATGGGCGTTTAGGTTGCTTCCAGTCTTTTGCTACTGCAGATATTGCTGCAGTTAATTTCCTTGTGTTCTTTGCAAATATACCTGTAAGAAACTTCCTCGATGTAAAATTGCTGGGTCAAAAGGGTATACATCTTTCAGTTTTATATATTTACCAACTGTGCTCCAAAGAGGGCACATACGAAGGCGACATTTTCCCCATACCCTTGCCAACCCATTTTATCAAAAATGTTAAGTCCTTACCATCAGCTTTGCATTGTGATTTTCATTTGAATTCTTTTTTTTTCTCTTACTCTTTCTTCTTCTTCTTTTTTTTAAGAAACGATCTTGCTCAGGTGTGCACCATCACAACCAGCTAATTTTTAAATTTTTTGTAGAGATAGGGGTCTTGCTATCTTGCCCAGGCTGGTCTTGAACTCCTGGTCTCAAGTAATCATCCTGCCATGGCCTGCCAAAGTGCTGGGATCATAAGTGTGAGCCACCACACGTAAGCACATTGCTTTTCTTTTGAGTGAAGCCTTTTCATTCTGAGTTAGTCGTCTGTTCACAAATTTTATTCATTTATTAAGTCATTGATCAAATGTTATTGATTTGTAAAAGCTCTTTATATGTGGAGAAAATTAGCCTTTTTATCTAATTTAGACATTGCAAAAATTTCCACAATTAATCATATTACAGTTGGCATTTGAACAATATGGGGATTAAGGCACTGATCCCCCTCATGCACACTCAAAAATGTGCACATAACTTTTGACTCCCGAAAAACTTTACCACTAACAGCGTACTGCTGACCGGGAGCTTACTGATCACATAAACAGTCCATAAGGCTGGGCGCTGTGGCTCACACCTGTAATCCCAGCACTTTGGGAGGCCGAGGCAGGTGGATCACCTGAGGTCGGGAGTTCAAGATCAGCCTGACCAACATGGAGAAACCCTGTCTCTACTAAAAATACAAAATTAGCTGGGTGTGGTGGCACATGCCTGTAATCCCAGCTACTTGGGAGGCTGAGGCAGGAGAATTGCTTGAACCTGGGAGGCAGAAGTTGCAGTGAGCCAAGATCACGCCATTACACTCCAGCTGGGGCAACAAGAGTGAAACTCTATCTCAAAAAAAAAAAAAATTAACACATATTTTATATGTTATTATATACTGTATTCTCACAATAAAGTAGGCTAGAGGAAAGAAAATGTGGGTAGGTGTGGTGGCTCCTGCCTGTAATCCTAGCACTTTGGGAGGCTGAGGTGGAAGGATCATTTGAGTCCAGGAGTTCAAGACCAGCCTGGGCAACATAGCGAGACCCCAACTCTTAAAAATATGAAAAAAAAATTTTAAAAAGAATGTTATTAAGAAAATCATAAAGAAGAAAAAATATATTTGCTATTTATTAAGTGGAAGTGGATCATCATAAAGGTCTTCATCCTTGTCTTCATGATGAGTAGGCTGAGGAGGAGGAAGAGGAAGAGGAGTGGGTGGTCTTGCTATCTCAGGGGTGACGGGGCTGAAGAAAATCCGCATATAAAGGGATCCATCAGTTTAAACCCATGTTGTTCAAGAGTCAGCTGTGTTTTTGTTCTATACAGAAATTGTGGCCTGGCACAGTGGCTCACAGTGTAATCCCAGCACTTTGGTAAGCCGAGGTGGGTGAATCACCTGAGGTCAGGAGTTCAAGACTGGCCTGGCCAACATGGCGAAACCCTGTCTCTACTAAAAATACAAAAATTAGCCAGGCGTGGTCATGCATGTCTGTAATCCCAGCTACTCAGGAGGCTGAGTCAGGAGAATCGCTTGAACCCAGGAGGTGGAGGTTGCAGTGAGCCAAGATTATGCCACTGTCCTCCAGCACTCCAACCTGGGTGACAGAGAAAGACTTTGTCTCAAAAACAACAACAACAACAAAAACAGAAATTGTTACGCACCCAGATGTATCTTGTACAGCTTCTGGAGTTGTATGTGCCCTAGAACTCTTAGAAAGGTTATAAAAAGGGCTCAGCATCTGTGCCTATTTATGATCCATCAGGGGAACCACACAAATCAACAGATGTCCCCAGCCCAGAACGCTGTGAGTGGTGAACCCCAGTGGACACATGACCCAGTGTTGGGGGTGTGAAACATCCTTCTAGGGGTGGAGTGGGGGTGATGTCTGAGCTGAGACTGGATGGTGAGCTCAGGCAGGGTGAGTGGGTATTGGCAGGCAGAGGGACAGGGCAGGAAAACCCGCAGACAGACGGAGAGCACAGGATGGGCTAGGGAACTGAGACATCCCCTAGCCCACCCTGGGTGTGGGGGTCTGTCCCAGGGTCTGGGGACAGTGGGAGGACAAGCAAGCTGGGCCACCTTCAGTTCTCAGCCTGAGGGGGACAGGGAGACTGGAAGGTTTTCTTCGCAGGGTTGCTTGGCTCCATTTGCCTTTGGGAAGATTCTGCAGGACTGAAAGTATCAGAGGAGACAAGAGGCCATCGAGGAGACCGATGCCACATCCCATAAGGGGGTGGAGGCTGGATGGGATGGAGCCAAGGAATGGACACAGGGAAAGAGGACCCAGACTTAGCCCTGCAAGGCTGACCGGATGGTGGGGCAGGGACAATCTATAGTCAGGTCCCCCTCCCCCTATATAGCTGTCCATCCACCTAAGACTCCCAGGACCAAGCCTCAGGTGAGGAATCCATTCCCCCTGGGCCCAAGGGCTCTGTCTAATGGGGCTTCCCAAGCATGATGTATTCCAGCCCCAAGCAGCCCAGAGCCCACAGGCAGCCATTACCAGATGCATGGGTGGGTGATGGAGGAAGGAGAGGCTTCCCACCCTTGGCATGGGATGGGGGTCTGAGGGAGGCCAGAGTCTGTGAGGTGCTGAGAACAAATGAGGCTCAGGATGGTGGGGGGGTGGTGCCCCGGTCCTGCCCCCTCTGCCAGGCTCCTATGGGAGCCGAGACCAACCACCTAGGACCCTCTTCCAAAAGAGTCCCTCTTTCTAAGTCTGTCTGTCTCTTTTTCTGTCTCTCTGTCTTTCCATCTGTCTCCTTCTATGAAAGATGAAGACATCTCTCTAGATCACTTTGTCTCCCTCTCTCTCTGGCTACCTGGCACACTCTCCTGAGAGTCACTCACTATATCTCTCTGTCTCTGTCTCTGACTTCTCCTCTGTCCCCACCACTCTCATTCTCCTCCTGCTTCTCAGCACCACCACTACCTCCCCATTCATCCTGGAGCTGTCAGGTGGGGCGGGCCCACATGCTCATGACCCGGCAGGTGCCACCCGGGACTGGCAGGGCTGGTGGGCTGCTCCAGGGCCTCTGCTCTGAGGGGCTTCTCTGGTCTGCCCTTCCCTCCTGCCAGATCCGTCCAACCACATGGACTCACAGCTGCCACTTCAGATGCATCCAGCCGGGAGTGGGCTTCACCTCGCTGGGGTGGGAGATGGACAGCTTCCCATACAGAAGGTCTTAGGCCACGTTCCTAGGCTGTGGTCACCAAACATTTCCCTCACCAGCCTAGAAGTTCCACTACCAACGATTTAGGGTTTAAATGGCAGGAAGCCCTGTTAACTCCCCCTCCTCCCAACATTAAACATTAAACACATCAGTCATTCACACTCTAGTAGGAATGAGCCAAGAGCTCTTCCCTCTACCCCCTAGTTGGGTGGATGCTGCATATGGAGATACTGTTCATCCATTTTTGCAAGAGGAGATGAAAGAGAAGCAGAGGAAGGGACCTGAGAGAAGGCAAGTAGGGCAGAGGTGGGGGGTCAGAAAGGGGAGGATTTAGGAGAAATTGCCAGAGGAGGGGAAGGGGGAACAAACGTTGCTAAGGAGAAAGCCTCTCATTTGTCCATTCCTGCAGTCAACAAAGCACAGTTGCAGGAAAGTCCCCGAGTCCTCACACCCCCATTTTCCAGATGCAGAAACCGAAGCTCGGAGAGAAGGGACTCTCTAGATCACATAGAACATCCAGGTCTCCTCACTCCAACAAGAGGTACCCTGTCCTGCCATGCTCGCTTATGTCCGGCCCTGTCATTCTGTTGTCGTCCCCCTGTACCCCCCTCAAAGATGCAAAACGGGAGATTCCAGAGGACAGGAAGGCCCTCCCAAGCCCTAATTTATGATTTTCTGACAGCTTCCTTCCTCCCACTACTCCCTTCCAGCCCCAGTCCCAGCTCTCTGGGGAAAGAATGAGCTGGGTGAATGAGAAGGGCAGCTCCATGGAGCATAAATAACTCGGCTGGGCAGCTGCAGGCTGCCTAGGTCTCCCAGCGCCCCGACCCTGGCCCTGCAGGGTGCTTCCATCTCTGAGAGCCAGGGACAGGAGGGCCAAACCCCCTGATCAAAAGTGCAGAGAGCAGCCATTGCTCTTGGGCCCTGTCCTTTGTCTGGTCAGCAGCTTTTAAGGCTGTGGCTTACACGGTCCCTTCCCTTTCATGGTGTCCAGGCACTGCTTGGCAATTAGGCCTGGGCCCCTGGGGGCTGCGGCCATGGGCTCTGGGCACCCCTTGGGCTGCTTCCTCACCTATGGAACAGGCACGATATGGGAAGAGTGCCTGGGCTCACACGAGCTAATGTGTGCACAGGGCTGATATGACGGGGCACACCCAAGCTGGAGAGACAGTCCTGTAGGACACAGCGGGAGGAAAGAGTCCCTTAGCTACGGCCCCCAGAGACTTCACAGGGGAAGGAGGCTGCCGCCCAGGTTGTTTGTTAAGAGGATAAAACATTTCCTGTTTGGACTAGGCCAGGGTGGATGCGTCAGTGAATCTGCCCCAGAGGGGCTGTGTTTCCCGGATCCCATGGCCTGCCCTGGGAGGGTGTCTGTGTGTGTCCCTGTGTGGTCCATCTGGGTGTGGGTCCAGGTCTGGGTATGTGTCCACACATTCTCTCTGGCCTCATCAGCCCCAAGATGGGACTCCAAATGTGAGCCAAGTTATCTCTTACCCCAAAGAAGACCTGCTTCAGGGCTCAGCCAGTGGGTGGCAGTGTGGTCTGGTGGGTAAACTCATAGACAGCTGCCCATCACTCACTAGCCGTGAGCCCCACACCTGGGGACAATAAGGCTTCCTCCTGGGTGGCAGAGAGGATCGCAGCAGACAATACAAGCAAAACGCTTAGCACAGCGCCTGGCGCACAGTCAGCATGGGGAACGGAAGCTGCTGTCGTTACTGGCGGTTGTGGTCTCGTCTTGGCAGTGGAAAGGACCAGGCCCCCAGGGGGGAGGCCCCGCCCGCAGGGACAGGCCCTGAGACCTCAAGCTAGCCGGCCCCTCTCCTCTCAGTTTCAGCAAACATTGAAACCTCAAATAATCAAAACCCCAGGCCCCCACGGCATTTCCTGCCTTTCCACTCAACTAGGAAAGAGGACCAGAAAGCCGGCTGTCATCCAACAGGAAAGTGAGCCCTTAAACGGGGGCTTCAGCTGTGCCCCAGGGCCACTGAAGGGGAGACCTGACGTTTTCACACTTTCCCAGAAGCTCAGACTCTTGAGCCAGAGGGACCTTAAAAGTCCTATGTGGGAGGGTTGCTTGAAGCCAGGAGTTCGAGACCAGCCTGAGCAACAGAGCAAGACCCTGTGTCTACAAAAAATATTAAAAATGAGCCAGATGTGCTGTCATACACCTGTAGTCCTAGCTAATCAGGAGGCTGAGGCAGGAGAATCGCTTGAGCCCAGGAGGTTGAGGCTGCAGTGAGCGGAAATGGCACCACTGCACTCCAGCCTGGGTGACAGTGTGAGACCCTGTCTCAAAAAAAAAAAAAAAAAAAAAAAAAGAAGATCCCATGGCTTGTTTTTTCAGGCAAAGAAATGAAGCTCAGAGAGGGGAAGTGACTTGTCTTGGGTCACACAGCTCCCAGAGGTTGCTCTGGAATTGACACCCTGGCCTATGGGTCACATGGCTTGTGGGGTGTATCCATCAGGCCACACAGCCACAAGGTGATAAATAGTGATAAATAAATCTATATTTATTTATCCGGGTCTACAGTGATAAATAAATACCCTGGACCCGGGAATCCCAGCCTCAGTAAGGACAGGCCCCTCTCTGATGTGAAAATGTTGATAACAGCTTTTACCAGGAGAGTCTCTTGCTGGGGAAATTCTGCAGCGGCCTGAGTCTGCCACAAGTTTGATGGCATTGGTTAAGAAATGTGGATGCCATTAATCGCAGGAGCATCTCAGACATGTTGCAAACAGACCTAGTAGTGCCTCCTCATTCTGTGGCACCCATCTGACACCCTAGACACCTCTCAGTCCCTCCAAGGCATTATCCAGTGCTTCTCCTTCCTAAACAGCTGCATGTTTGAGCTTCCTAAACAGCTCAAAGCACCCCTGGGGTGATGGGTTTTTATCTGGGCCGCTTGATTGGGGTTTCAGACAGGCCTGGCATCCTCTTGGGGGCATGGCTCCTCAGGAGTGACGAATTATCCAGGGTGTTAAGTCACTGATCTAGCTGTGTCAAAAACAAGGGCTAACCAGAGAGGTACAAAGCTGCATTTCTTGGAGGTCAGAGAGATGGCACAGGAGATGTGCCAAAATTTCACGTGAAAAGGAGGGCAACAGCTCCCCAAGGGGGCAACATTGGCACCATGGTGATGTCGCTGGAGGGAGAGGGAGCCCTTGGGGGACTATGTGAAGTAGGGGAGAGTGGGTGACAGGCCATTACCATGATATCTCAATCCTTCCCACACTCCTGTAACGAATGTACAACTGTCCTCCCTGCAAAAGAAACACTGAGGCTGCGAGAGGGGCAAGACTTGCCTGAGCTAACTGGAGCAGAAGTAGCAGAGGCAGGGTTTGAACCCAGCTCTCACTACCTGTCCCTTGGGACAGGGCAACAGCTTTCTCTATGTGGACACACTGGTGATGGATCCCCCGTCCTGCCTGCCTGCCTGCCTATGGTGGCCTATGCTGCCTGCCCCTGGTGAGTCCAGGAGGGGCAATCCAGTGACTGGCAGATCCTTTCTGGGGAGTGTTTCTAGAAGGGACCGTGGGTCTGGACAAGCCATAACAGGAAGTAGCCAAGCTGGGCAAGGGCTTCCCCAGCCCAGGCCTAACTACTGCCCATCGATCCAGGCAGAAGGCGGGGTTAGAGACTGCCCTGGGAGATTGGGGGTCTGGGTCCCCTCTGATGAGAGCTCTGGTCTCTCCCTATAAACACACACTCCTATCACAGACACACACATAACACACATGCACATAAATCCACATCAAGCATGCACACACATCCATCATACACACATACGACACACACATGCACCCCTGCACACACACACTACGCTTACATATACCTTTGTGGGATGTAGAGCCATTCCTCCAGAAGCCCATCCATGTACCCCAGATGAAACCACCCAACACCAATTCTTACCTTGTTACATATGGTGAAATCAAGGCATAGACCGAAGTGCTGTGGTTAAGAGCTGTTACTCTCCGAAGTCAGGCGATCTGGGTACAAATCCTGGCTCTGCCAAACCCCTGCCACGGTGCTTTAGGTAAATGACAGCTCCTTTCTGTGGCTTAGTTTCTCCACCTGTAAAATGAGAATAAGAACAGACTCTGCACTTATGGGGTCAGCCCAGATCTCCTCCTAGGGAGACTGCGAGTGCCTGGGCCTCAGTTTTCTCTTCTGTAAAATGGGGATATTGTGCCCAGTTCGAGCAGAGTGGCTTGAAGAGTCACCTGAGATAGGATGTGAAGTGGCCGCGGTGAGGTGCCCAATACACGTGGCGCGCACTGCTCAGGAAGCTTTCCTTGGAGGGCTGGATCCCGCAAAGGTGTCGAAAAAGGATGAGTCCCGGATATCATTCGCTCAGGTGAGGTGGGTTCGGGTCCCGGCTGCGTCTGGGACCGTGGCCCGGGCCTCAGTTTCCCAGTCTACAGCCCGTGGGAGGACACCTCGGAGCTGGCACCCCGCCCCCAAAAGGGCCCCGCGGCGCAGGGCGTGGGGCTCAGGTGGACACCTGGCGGGCCTCCTGGCGGGGGCGCCCTGGCCGCCCGGGCCCCTCCGGGCTCCTTCCGGGTTGGCAGCGGCGGCGCAGGGGGCGGGGGGCAGCGCAGAGGGGCCGGGCGAGGCCGGGAGCGCGCGCCCCCGCCCCCGCCCGCCCGCCTCCTGCCCGCCCTCCGGCCGCGGAGCTGGAAACCGGGCTCCGCGCGTCCGGGGCGGCTGGCGGCGCGGGCAGGCAGGCGGGGAGGACAGGCTGGGGGCGGCGACCGCGAGGGGCCGCGCGCGGAGGGCGCCTGGTGCAGCATGGGCGGCCCGCGGGCTTGGGCGCTGCTCTGCCTCGGGCTCCTGCTCCCGGGAGGCGGCGCTGCGTGGAGCATCGGGGCAGCTCCGTTCTCCGGACGCAGGTAAGAGCTCCCGGCGCCTTTGCACCCCGCTGGCCGAGGGTCCCGGCGCGCACACGCCCCCACCTCCAGGAAGGGCTGGGATTGGAGGGCGATCCAGTCCCCAGCCCGGGTGAGGGCAGGGACACGGCCATCCCGCGGTCCGGCTGAGGCTCCCGCGAGTGCGGGGTCCCCTACTCCATGTGTCGGAGCTGGCTGCCTCCCCTACTCCCTCCCTTTCAACCCAGGAGCTCGAGAGGAGGGGGAAGGGGCGCAACGAGGGCGAAGCCCTGGCCCTTCTGTTCCCCTGTCCCTAGGGCCCCTCCCCCTGCACTTGGGAAAGGCCTATGACACCCCCTAGCCGACTCTTCTCGGACCCTCTCTCCCCTTTTCCCTGTTCCTGTTTTTTTGCTTTGTTTTGTTTTTTGTTTGTTTGTTTTGTACCCAGGCTATTTATCTCCCTCGGAGGAGGGACTGGGGTGGAGTCTCACAGCCCAGTGGGTCAGTGTCGGAGATACCCCAGGGACCTGGCATTTTGGACAGAGAAAAGAGGGAGCACAGTCTTCCTTCTGCTCTCCTAGCGGCGGGGAACCTCCTCCCTGCTGGCCTTTACGGAGGAGCTCCCAGAACCTGACATGGTGGGGCCCATTATTATATATAGTGTCCTCATCAATCCTTGAAGGACCGAATGAGGTAGGGAAAACTGTCCCCATTCAACGGTTAAGCAAACTGAGACCCTAGGGAATTGGCATCATCTTTTAGCCTCATGGGCTATTCACTGAAGAGCTAGGTTGCAAATCTGCCCTTCTATCCTTGATGACAGTGTTTGAACCTGTCCTGGCCTCTGTCCTGGCTGCAGCCCCAGCGAGGGTCCCCTCCTAAAGGCCAGCCGCCGTTGTCCAAGGCAGACAATGTGGAGTAGCCAGGCCTCTCCAGGCCTTTTCATCCCATTCAAAGGCCTGCGCGGCCCCCACCCCCTACGGCCTCAATTCTTTAATTCTTTTCAGAAATTCTCCTTTCCCAGTGGTCAGGGGCCAGCATGCCCCTGCTGGGCTAGCAAGAGCAGTTGACATGGGCAGGGCTGGAGGACGGAGGTGGTTGAAGCATCAGAGGCCAGAAGAGCAGTTGTCTGAGACAGGGGTGGACGTGTGGCAGATGTTACAGCCACCACCTATTGTGTGCAGACAACAGTTAGCCTGAGTCGGCTCCGTTACCTGCATTCATCAGCTCCAGAATCCTCCCAGCTGCTTGGAGGTATGCTCTTTATGATTCTGTTTCATAGAGGAGGAAGATGAGGCTCAGAGAGGGAACATGACCTGCCCAGAGCATGGAAGTGAGCCGCCAGGATCCCAGATGCTAAGAGGACAGAGACTATGAACTCAGAAATCCCACTGTTAGGCTCAGGATGATGGTGGCGACAGCTTAAGGCCCAGACCGCCCTGCAGCCAGTTCAAGGCAGGGCTTCCCAGCCTGGGCTCCTCACCTCCCAGGGTCTCCTGGGTGGGAACAGGATGATGGCTATAACCAGGTATCTGGTGGTCACTGGGGACTGTCACTCCATGTGTTGACAGAAGCCTATCACAGTAGCCTGAGCATCCCAAAAACCCTGTGGGCAACACTATTGCACCCATTGTACAGATACGGAGGCTGAGGCCTACAGAGGACAAGTGGCACCTCAGTCCAGACCAGTCGATTTCCAAATCCAGTGGCTTTTTCTCTCCAGCAGCCTTGCTGGAAGAGGGAAAGAGGTTGTCGGCTTGGGGGCACCAGGAAAGGTTTGCAGTCATGATTAGGAGTTAGGGGCTCCAGCCTTGGACAGAATGGAGACAGAATTCCTTGCTCTTACAGGCTTGATGTGTGACCTCAAGTGGGTCACTTCCTGGCCATGGGTCTCAGTTTTGCTCTCAGTTTCCTTCTTTCCTCGTGGGAAGGACCAGCACCGGGCCTCACCTGCAGTGGTTCCTGCTATCAATCATGTCACATGGGGGTAGGGACCTGGAGCTTGAGGAGTCTGTGGGCTACCAGAACCTCCACTTGTGGCCCCATCCCCACGTTGCTGGAGACAGCATGGGGGTGTCATGCCCTGTCAGCCTTCCTGCCACCCACACCCCAGCACCCCAGGCACCCCTTGGCAGCCAAGGGACCAGACGCAGAAAAGAGGCTTTGTCCTGGGGAGGGGGTGGCCTGGGAAGGCATCCAGGGGGCCGCCCCTTGCCCCAGGAAGGTGGTGACACTTGGAGACCCCCGGAACCAGGGTGCCCAAGGGCTATGCAGAGCTGCCTTGGCTTGCCCCTGCCCCTGGGGCTGCTTCCTGCCCCGCTGAGGTCCTTCTAAGCCTGGAGTCTGCTTCCTTTAACCACTCATCTCAGCGTTTCAGCTGAGGGTTCAAGCCTTCACCAGCCCAGATCTCTCGCCCCTGCAGCACCGGCTTCCTTCCGGCAAATCCTAGGATCAGGGAGAATGGAGGGCTCTAAAATGGAGGGGATCTGCCCCAGCCTCTGTCTAGGGGGCTGCAATCCCAGCTGATGCCCACAGGGGTGACCTGGGTAGGTGCTTTCTCTTGGAGCCTGTTTCCCCCTCTGTAAAATGCAGAACCTGATAATCCCTATTCCAAGGGGAAGACCTTGTGAAGAAGGTACTGTGCTGGTGTCCCCAATCCCCAGGGAAGCCCCTGGACCAAGCTGCTGGGTGTGGGGCCCATGTCTGGGCCTGAGCCCCTCAGTCCCGGAACAGGAATGAACAATAGCTGTTAGCGCTGTGCTAAGGGATTTGAGTGAAGCTTCCCCCGCTGGAGGAAATTCTGCTGTCCCCATTTGCAGATGGACAAAATGAGGTCCAGAGAGGGTCAGGGCCTTGTCCAAGGTCACCGATGTAGGAAGCAGCAGAGCCAGGACTGGAACTTCGCCCCTACTGCGGGGCTCTGGCTCTCATCATACCACCCCTGCCCGCCCGGTCCTTTCTTTCTTCTCCTTTTCATCACAGCCCTTGGCCCCGGGCCCGCTTGGCTGCCTCCTGCAATTAGCCCCTATCACTGTTCCGGATCGCAGCCCTGGGCCCTACAGAGACAAAGTCCCCTGGGCCCCTCGTGGCAGGGGGTGGAGTGTGGGTGTAGGTGGGGGGCCTTTGTGGGAGTGGCCGGTGCCAGGCTGAGCTGGTCTGGCCTGTTTCTCCCCTCCTGGAGGCCTCTGGGGGCCTGGAGGTGCTGAGTGGGCAGAAGTGTTGGGCCCAGGAGGGAAGTGCCGCCTCTTCCCAGCCCCTGCCCTCACCAACCCCACTGCCCAGCCTCATCCAGCTCTTGGGCAGCTTATCAATGACCACACCCCAGGGAAGGAAGCCCCCAGGGGCTGCAGGGATGGAGCACATGGGGATGGGTCCCTTCATCTGTGGAAACCTCGGGTCCCAGCTCCTCTGGCCGGAGCTGCTGCCTGTTCTCCATCATTCAGTCATTCAACAAACATCGCTGAGCGTCCTCAGGCTGAGCCCTACACAAACTTGGTCCCAGCTCATGCCCTCCTCCAGCACCTGCGTGAGTGAGTAAAGCCCAGGGCTATTGTGAGTGGCTAATGGGTGGTGCCCAACCCCTGCCTGGGCCTGAGGGCTGAGACCCAAAGGATGAATAAGAGTTGGCTGGAGCAAGAGGGAGGGGCTTTCCAGGCAGAGGGATCTTCATATGCTAAGATCAGAGGTGGGAGGAGGGGCTGCATGAGTGTGCAGGAGAGGTGAGCAGAATAAGAAGTGAAGGGCAGCGCTTGCAGGGCTATAGGGAGTCATGGTGGGCTGCGGACTCCACAGTGGGTGGTGGCAACATTAGGTCTGCACTTTAGAAAGAGCCTCCTGCTACCCCTGGAAGGTGGATAGAGGTGCAGGAGGGTGGCAGGGCCAGGCTGGGACCCTGTGGAGGAGCTCGGGCTGATGCTAGGAGTCCTGGGGCTGGGGTCCTCAAGGTGGGGGATGGGGTAATTATTAGTGATCCCCAGGTGGAGGGGGCAAGGGACTAAACCTGAACTCCACATGGCATGAGTGTCCTCTCCTGTCCAAAAGGTCTGGCTAGCCGGCCACCAGCTCCATGTCTCCTAAGGAGAGGATTCAAGCACAGTCCAGATTATGGCAACCAGGCAGGGACCCACATGGCAAATTTTTTTTTTTTTTTTTTTTGAGACGGAGTTTTGCTCCTGTTGCCCAGGCTGGAGTGCAATGGCGCGATCTTGGCTCACCGCAATCTCTGCCTCCTGGGTTTAAGCGATTCTCCTGCCTGGTATTACAGGCATGCACCACCATGCCTGGCTAATTTTGTATTTTTAGTAGAGATGGGGTTTCTCCATGTTGGTCAGGCTGGTCTCGAACTCCCGACCTCAGGTGATCCACCTGCCTCAGCCTCCCAAAGTGTTGCGATTACAGGCTTGAGCCACTGCGCCCGGCCAACAATTTTTTTTAAGAGACAAAGTGTCACTCTATTGCCCAGGCTGTAGTGCAGTGGCGTGAATATAGCTCATTACAGCCTCAAACTCCTGAGCTGAAACGATCCTCATCTCAGCCTCCCAAGTAGCTGTGACTACAGGCAAGCACCAATGGTAGAGATTTTAATTAAGGAAGAAGAAGGAAAAATACTGTTTTTTTTCTCTAGCTCCTCCCTGGTAAAAAGAAGGACAGCTCTGGCCATTGTGGACCATCACAGGCCCACCTCTCCCGGCCTAGTCTGGGGGCTGGGCATGTGAGGGCTGTTGTCCACGTGTGTGTGTGTGAGGGCAGATGGCTCTGTGCGTGCCTGTATAGATATGTGTGAGAAGATGGCCAACAGTACCCTGCTGGGCCTGCCTTCACCTGTTTGTGTACATGTGAGAAGTGTGTGTGTGTGTACACATGTGCCTGCATGTGCATGGATGTACATGAATGAGAGCACTGTGGGGCCGTGTGTGGACATGCCCAGAGATCACAGCTTCAGCCTATATGCGTCCATGCGAGAGGGCATGCGTGTGTGTGTGCATGTGCAGGTGTGTCAGTGTGTGTGCAAGTGTGAACGCATTTGCAGGGAGAAGGTTTGACTGTGACTGTGTGCCCCTCTGGGCCTGCTTTGGTCTGTCTATGTCCATGTGACAGAGCCGATGAGTGTGTGTATGTGAATGTGTGAGGGCACAGAGTCCTGTATCTGCAGGTATGGACTTGTGTGCAGGGAGGACGGTCATTTCTGTGATTAAGTGTCCTGCTGGATTTGCCTTAGCCTGTCTGTGTGCGTTTGTGTGCATGTATGGAGCTCTGTGTTTATGTGGATCTGTGTGTGCACACGGAGGCCCGTGTGTCCATGCGTTGTGTGTACATATGCCTATGTGTGTGTGCACGTGCTCACTGCAGTGCGTATTTGCCCTGTGTGCCTGTGTGTGCATGTGTGTGCGTGTATCTGTGTGTTTGTGTGGATCTGTGTGCATATGCATGAACATGTGTGTCCATGCATTGTGTGTACATATGCCTGTGTGTGTCTGTGTGTACGTGCTCACTGCCATGCATATTTGCTCCTGTGTGCCTGTGTGTGCATGTGTGTGCGTGCATTTGCGTGTGCAGGCACTGTGTGTTTGCGAGCATCTGCTCACTGGCATAGTGTATTCATTCTGTGTCCAGGGCCCCTTTCCTGTCTCCAGAGCTTCCGACTGTCCTCTGCCCAGATTGTCCTCTTCCTCCCTCCCTCCTTCACTCACGAAGCCCCTGGGCCAGCCTGGTGAGTGTCACGTAGGCTCCAAGGAGCCTCTGAACCCCCTTAACCTGTACACCAAGTTTTATGCGTATTTCTGGAGAGGAGCCACGATTCACCGCAATTTTCTAAAGGGGCTTATGCCCCCACTCTCCATATTCAACCCTAACAGGTTCAAAACCACACCTTTGGTTTTTTTTGTTTTGAGACAGAGTTTCGCTCTGCTGCCCAGGCTGGAGTGCAGTGGCACGATCTGGGCTCACTGCAACCTCTGCCTCCCGGGTTCAAACAATTCTCCTGCTTCAGCCTCCTAAGTAGCTGGGATTACAGGCGCACACCACCACGCCCAGCTAATTTTTGTATTTTTAGTAGAGACGAGGTTTTGCCTTGTTGCCCAGGCTGGTCTCAAACTCCTGATCTTCAAGTGATCCACCTGCCTTGGCCTGCCAACGTGCTGGGATTACAGGCGTAAGCCACTGCACCCGACCCTTTTTTTTAATTAAAAAAAATTTTTTTATAGAGATGGGGTTCTCACCGTGTTGCCCAGGCTGGTCTTGAACTCTTGGCCTCAAGCAATCCTCCTTGCCTCAGCCTCCAAAAGGGCTGAAATCTTCACCTACTCATTAGGAGAAACATTTCTAGCCTAGGGTTGAGAGTGCAAGCTCTGGAGCCAGAGGGACTTGAGTTCCAACCCTGACTGTGCCGCCTATCATGGGTGCCTGGGGCACGTCCTGGACCCCAGAGTCTCAGTCTTCCCATCTGTAATGTGGCTTTTTTTTTTTTGATACGGAGTCTCACTCTGTTGCCCAGGCTGGAATGCAATGGTGCGATCTCAGCTCACTGCCACCTCCGCCTCCCAGATTCAAGCAATTCTCCTGCCTCAGCCTCCTGAGTAGCTGGGATTACAGGCTCCCACCATCACACCCGGCTAATTTTTTGTATTTTTAGTAGAGACAGGGTTTCTCCATGTTGCCCAGGCTGGTCTCGAACTCCTGACCTCACGTGATCCACCCATCTCGGCCTGCCAAAGTGGTGGGATTACAGGCATGAGCCACTGTGCCCAGCCTGAAGTGGCTTTTTAATAAGAGTGTGAGAATTTAACTGAGCGAACACGTGGACGGCTCTGGGCACAGCTCCTGGCGTGCAGCAAGCATGATAAACATAGCTACTGTTCGTGTAGTAGACGGAGCAGATGGAAAGCCCTCCTTGCTCCCAGACATGGCAGTTTGAGAAAAGTGTCATTTTTTTCTCACTTTATATGCACATATCTGTACATGTGCACGCATATAGAAATAGTTGACGTTCTGTCTCTCTCTTAATGTAATAGAAATGCAATCACTGTATATCCATTGGTCTTTGTCTGCTTTTTTCCTCCCCGTAACTAGGTGTGATAGCTGGGTCTCAGGTCAGCACGCAGAGACCTCGGGCTTTGTCACAGCATCTGGTTTCCCATGTCCGGTGGCTCCATAGCTGTTTAGGCTGTTCCCAGTTTTGTGCCATTTCTGATGGTGCCATGGCAGGCACCTGTCACCTCTGCATGGGATGGCTGGCTGAAGGCTCTGTTGAGCTTCTCCTGCTTCATGGGCCAAACTGAACCATCCCTTCTCCCAGCCTTCCCACCTCCAGGGCTGTACCTAGGTTGTTTCCTCTTCCAGCACTGATTCTGGTGTGGCACAGAAAGATGAAGGGAATTCCACAGGGCCCTAAATTGAGTTAGTTGCCTGGTCCTGGCCCAGGAGTTTCTCCTTCTGGTGGTCTGGGGTGGGGGCAGGGCTGCAGCGAGTGGGGGCTGCACTGTGGTCGGCATGGGAGTCTCTGTGAAGGCCGGGACATTCCAGGTGCTCAGCAGCCCTCAGCCCTGCACAGGGTCACGGGCCCTGTGCTTTTTGCAGGGGTTGGGGAAGGAGGGATGGTTTCAGGTGACCCTTCTCAGCCTGGGTCCCCCACCCCTCCCAGACTTTCTTCCTGCCCTCAAGCCTGGGGTCAGCAGGTTCCCAGGCCGGGGCGTTTACAGAGCCACAGACCGTGGCTCAAGGAGATGAGGAGAAGACGGGAGCTGAGGCTCTGGGATGGCGTCAGAGGCTGGGCTAGGCCATCCACCTTGCTGGGTTCAAATCTGGCTTCTCCACGCACCAGCTGTGACATAAGCAGTTGTCTTCACCTCCCCAAGCCTCAGTTTCCCCTCTGTAAAAACAGGGTGGGGGTACCTTCCTCACCATCAGAGGATAGTGTAAATACCTTTAGCATATAATAAGTGCTCAATATGTGCAGTGCACTCCGATTATTAGTTGGTGTTTGGAGAACTCAGTCCTCTGGGCTTGGGGCATTGATTACACATCCCAGCCATTCCACGGAGGGGACATGGGAATGGGTGAGACAGGGCCTCTCCTCTTGCATGCTGGCGGAGGGGGCAGGCACAAATTGGCAGCTTAATTCAGCGTGACAGGTGTGCAGATGCTGCGGGAGCCAGGGCAGGGCACCATCAGAACTGCTCGGGTCAGGGTGGAGATGGGAAAGGATGGAGGGAATAGGCCATGTCACATCTGGGCTTTGAAGGTAGGAGGCGCCATGGGGAGAAGCGGAGGAAGGGTACTCCAGGCAGAGGGCCCAGCACCAGCAAAGGCCTGGGGCAGGTGTGGGTACAGGAGATCCTGAGGGTTGGGGAGTTGGGTAGGCAAGGCAAGGATGTAGGCAGGTTTCCATTCTGTGACACTGCCTCTAGGGAGGGACCGAGGGGCAGATGGAGAGGCCACTCACTGTAGTTGTCCAGGCAAGAGCCAGGCAGTGATGATGGCCTGGATGGGTCAAAGTTGGAGAGGAGAGAAGTTGGGGAGCGAGAGCTCAGGGGAAGATGGCCCGCTTCCATCTTTCCCCTGCCATTCATTCCTCAAGACCTACTGAGAACTCTCTGCACAGCCCCACCCCTAGGGCCATGACATTCACCCCTCAGCCACAGGGACTCCCCCCAGCCATTTGGGCCCAAATGACTTTGCAAGCTCAGGGCTTCTCGCTGCCTGGGGATTCAGGGCTCTTGAAGAGAACACGGACGTCCTCACCCATCCTCCTGGAGTCCCCAGCAGGGGACCCTGTGTGGTACCTGAGTTTCCTCTCTTTGGGTCTGTTTCAGGAACTGGTGCTCCTATGTGGTGACCCGCACCATCTCATGCCATGTGCAGAATGGCACCTACCTTCAGCGAGTGCTGCAGAACTGCCCCTGGCCCATGAGCTGTCCGGGGAGCAGGTAAATGAGGTGGAGAAGGAACTGATGGCATTCCAGGTGGAGGCACAGTTTGGGCAAAGGCCTGGTTGGGGGACTGCATGGGGAGTGTGGGGGAAGACTGGACCCCAGGGTGGGCGGAGCAAAGGTAGCATCAGCCGACACCATTCTCAGCCTATCCCCTGTGCTGTTGAAGCACCCTGGAGGGCTTCCTGAGGGATGGATACACCATTTGCCTGCATTCCTTTACTCAGTGAGTATTCACGCTGGGCTCAGGCCAGCCCAGCCTGCAGGGTCTTCTTGTCCAGCTGGTATCCAATCTCCAATCCCTGTGGCAAGGTGGTGGGGGGATGGAAGGGCTGAATCCCAAAATGCAGGAGAGAGCCTCCAAAGGGACCTGGAGGCAGCAGAGGATCCTGGAAGCTCTAGGTTTGTCCCCATGGGTGTCCAGGGCAGTGGGAGAGGTCATGGAGGACCCTGTCTCAGCTGGGCCACCTGGGGACTCTTTCAGCTACAGAACTGTGGTGAGACCCACATACAAGGTGATGTACAAGATAGTGACCGCCCGTGAGTGGAGGTGCTGCCCTGGGCACTCAGGAGTGAGCTGCGAGGAAGGTAGGACTGCCCGGCCGGCTCCCGGAGCCCTGCGACAGCAGGCCAGGTGCCTCCCTGCAGGTGCATGGAGCCGTGAACTATTAAGAGAGTCATGCACAGTACCATGCCTGCTGGGGCCAGCTGCACAGAGCCTGGCTCAGACACAGTCAGTGCTTGTTGTCCCCCCTGCCCCCCACGGTGACCGCTTGCCTCTTGGGAGACTCTCAGGACCCCCAGAAGAATTTTATATATGCTGCATAGCTCACATTTTAAGTCATGCTATCCTAAATCTTTCCTCCACACTCGGGGAAAACCCATCCAGACATTTCTGTATGACACGATAACAGACATTACAGAGAAGCAAAGAACCATTTTAGTCAGTTCATGGGTCAGAGAGGTAAGAATGGTTTTACCTATCCTGCAGATGAGGAAACCGAGGCTCAGGAAGGGGAGGGGCACACACCTCTGTCTGTCTGCCAGGCTGCACTCCCCGCCCCCCCACCCCTGGGCTCCAGGGATGGGAGGGCTCGGCTGGGCCCTTGTGTGCAGAGCATGTCCCAGGCTCAGGGACTTCTCTCACCCCACCTGGCTTCACTGTGTGTACCTCTGGGTGGCTCAGGGCTGAGCACCCTGCAGGGGCACAGAGGAGGCAGCCTGGGCCTCCCAGGAGCCTGGCCACACTCTCCCCTGCAGAACCCTCTCCTCTCCTCCAGGCACCTGCCCCTCTGCTGAGCAGCCCAGGCCTCTCCCATCCTCACTGCCTGGCTGAACCCATGAGCAGCAGATTTTTGGACACCAAGAGCTGTGTTTCCAAGCATGGCGCTAAAGAGGATGGGCTGGCCCAGAACCATCCTGAGAACCAGGCCCAGAGACAGCTCAAGGGACAGAAGCATTCAGGGCCCCCACAGCAGCACATGAACGTGAACATCAGTCTCAGGATATACCCCAATTCCGGAAACACAAATGTGCGAAAATGTAGCCTCTGACTCAAAGGAACATGGTGCTTCCAGAAGCCACGGCTCACAGGTGTTTCTTGGGAGATTTGCACACTTCACCTCCCGGGGACCCTCAACAGCCCAGTTCACAGATAGGGTGACTGAGGCCCAGTGAGGTGGAGTGGAGTGCCCAGAGGCACACGGCCATGGGGATGGGGTTCAGAACTCACCACGCAGTGGGGAGGGGTCTGGCAGGTTCTGACATGGGGTAGAGGAGTACCCAGTGAAGCCGGGAAGAAACCGGGTGGCTAGAGGGAGAGCTGAGACGCCCCATGCCAAACACCCCTGCGGAGAGGCAGCCACAAGGGCCAGTGTGGGAGGCTGGAGCGGGTGGACAGACGTTTGAAGGGGAGCCAGGAACAGCACCCTCTTGTCCCTGGTGGGAGGGAGAGGGGAAGGCAGGTGGGGCCGAGGGGCAGGAGAGCCAGCCAGGAGGGGCAGCTGCCAAGGAGACCACAGAGGAGCTGTGGAGGGGAGGGCCGAATCCCCAGGGCATGGGGGCCGCCTGGGCCCAGGCAGAGCCTCCCCAGACAAAGGCCATTCTGTCCCTGGCTCCCCTCCCAAGGGCAGACCTTCCTGGTCTCTGGGGCCTTCAAGGAGTTGGTGAGGGAGAGGACAGGTGGGGACAGCACCCATGCCCTTGAATCTAGCTGCTGGAGGCCGTGAGTCCAGGAGCCAGGCCAAGGGCTGGGGGCTCTGCTGATGCTAAGGCAGGGGCATGAGCCAGGCAATGGAGCCAGGCCAGCTCCCTCTGTGGGGCCTTCAGGTCCCAGCGTGGGTATGGGATATCTGAGGCTTCCTAGGCTGGGCCAGCTCTGCCACACACCAGCTGCATGGCCTTGGGCCGGGGACTTCCCGTGCTTGTGCAAGTCATTGTGCAAGGGCCCTGGGCTTGGGGGTGCTGCACTCCAGGCAGCATTCTTCTCATGCCCACTCGGAGGGAAAGGCACCATCACTAAAAGGCACCAAGCTGCTGTGTGTGCCTGCAGCAGCCCCGGCTCGTCCACATTCAGCCTCAGTGTCCTCACCCGGGAAATGGGCAGGATGATAAGAGTCTGCCTCCCTGGGTATTGCTAGGATGAAATGTTGGAGCCTATGGAGGAAAGGGAGGTGGGTGAGTGGATGCATCCACTATTCTAGAAAACTCTGCTGGGGTCCTAGGAATGGGGAGCAGAGAGGCATAGGGACATTGCCAGGGGACCCTGGTCTCTGCCCTTCCTCCCACAGTTGGTTTCAGGCTGGGCTCCCAAGCTGCTTCTCCTGCTGGTGCCCACTCTTGTCACCTGCCCAGTGCTGTCTCTTGACCCTCGAGCCATAGAGCTGCATCACCAGGGCCAACAGGACCCAGGGCAGCCTGGGGTGGGCCAAAGGAGGAGAGGGAACACCTGCCATTCTGGAATCCAGCCCTAAATCAGCTGCACTCTGCTGTGTGACTTGGGGCAAGTCACTTCTCCTCTCTGAACCTTGGCTTTATCTGGAAGTCACCCAGCATGAAGAAGTAGCACTCATGCTTGGCTCATGGTAGATGCTCCGCAAATGTCTTCCTCTCCCATCCTGCTCCCCCACCGCCTACCCCATGCTGGGGATTCCGTGGCGACCTGGCAGACACAGCCCTGCCTCCCGCCTCTGAGACCCCACTTCACAGTCAGCTGCTCAAGAAACGGACCTTGAGTCTCTGTGAGGCTGGTGGGCTCTAGTGAAGGACTTCACGGCACTGGGCCCTGGTTTTCTGCAGAATGGGGATGTTCACTTTGTGACGAATGAGGATTGTCTCATTTGGTGTCCATGGCAACCTGTGGAGAAGGGGCTAGAATGGGCTGCATTTTACAGATGGAGAAACTGAGGCTCAGAGAGGTGATGGGACTGGCCTGAGGTCACTCGGCAGGTGAGAGCCAGGATTGGGACCTGTCTGAGCAAGCTTCTGTGCCCCCAGGCCTCAGGAGGTGGGGAAGGGGTCACCTGGCTGCCTCTCATCAGAAACAATAGGGCTTATCAGAAACAATGGGTGAGGAAGAACCAAGGCCAGAATGCACCAAGTGGGCCAGGGAGGGGTGGGCGCAATGCCAGGGCCATGTCAGGAGGGCGGGCCGAGCCCCACAATCACCTTTTCTGGGCCTGGGCCTGACCCCTGAGTGCCTGGGCCAGTGGGCTCTGCTGACATTGGGGCTGCTGCAGTAAACCCCATGTCACTCTGCCTCTTGAGGCTTCCTGCAGACAGATCAGCCCCACTGTCCGGATGATGAAAGTGAAGCTCAGAGAGGGCGTGGGTCTCACATAAGGTCACACAGCAAGCAAGTATTGTCGCCAGGTTTCTCCCCAGGGTGCCGACCTGAGTTCTGTGGCATCCCCCTGCCCCAGATCCTCCTGCAATAATCAGGACAAGGAGAAAGAAAGCTGCCACCGTCCTCCGTGCTGGGCGCTGCAAGGTTTACCCCCTGCAGGAGCCATCAAGTCATGGTACAGAAGGCCCAGATGCAGAAACTGAGGCTCAGAGAGGGGAATGCCTTGTCCAGGGGAGCAGCCTGTGAGCTGAGGAGCCGAGCTCAAACCCGGTCAGTCTGACTGCAGTCAGGGGTCTTTCCCCTGCAGCAGTGCTGGCTGAGGATGTCCCCGGGAGTGTGTTCAGACAGCTGGGATGCTGTGAGGCTGGCAGAAGCCAGTCTCAGCCCCAGCTCCTCCTAGATAGAAAGATAGAGAGGCCGGGGCTCCCTCCCCTCCCCTCCCCATGGGCCCCCTGGAGCTGGGCTGCCTCTGCTTCCCCCTCATAGGTCCCATTGTCCCCAGCATACATATTCCTTCCCTGTCCATGGTTCCTCACAGCCCTTGTCTTCCAAGAAGAGGAACCAGAGAGGGGACACTTGCCCGAGGTCGACCACAAAATAGCCTAAGAACAGGCCAGGCACAGCAGCTCACACCTGTAATCCAAGCACTTTGGGAGGCCAAGGCAGGAGGATTGCTTGAGGCCAGAAGTTCAAGCCTAGCCTGGGCAACATAGCAAGACCCTATCTCAAAAAAAAAAGTTAAAAAATTAGCTGGGCATGGTGGTGCACACCTATAGTCCTGGTTACTCAGGAGGCTGAGGCAGGAGGGTTGCTTGAGCCCAGGAGTTCAAGTCTGCAGTGAGCTGTGATCCTGCCACTGCACTCCAGCTTAGGTGACAGAGCAAGATCCTGTCTCTAAAAATAAAATTTTAAAATAGCCTAAAAACAGACTGAGATTCTAGCCCAGGCCCTTCCTGTGCTCCTTGGTCCCTTCTACCATCCAGGGCTGGGCGCTCTCCACACTCATCTCTTTCATCTTAACCAGGTTCCAGGTATGGTGCTAAGTCTGAGCTTTACTTTGCAGATTCAGAATCCGAGGGCTAAACATTGCAAATCCACCTACATCCACCGCCCAGCCACCCCCACTCCTGGAAGTCCCAGCAACCCCCACCTCCTGCCAGCCCATCCTGCACGCCCAGCCAACATGGCTGCCTCCTCCACTCTCTCAGCCCCTGCCTGCATCCCCTGAACCTCACCCTCCTTCTGTTTGAACCCCCTGCCCACACTGGCTTTGTCTCCCATACACGGCCTTGGCAGTGGCCGGCAAGTCGCTGCTCTGCCTGCAACCCACTGGGTGCTCCCACCTGGCTAGGTTGACCCCCATCCTGCCACCATTACTCCCACATCCCCAGTGCCTGGCACGGGCCATGTATAAAGTGAGTGCACAGGAATTGAATAGGAACTTTGCCTACCCTGAGGAGGAGGCCAGGCCGGACATAGACTAAGCCTTCCTGGAGGCTCCTGATTGGGCTGGAGAGTTTTTGGAGCTCCCAGCCCCAGCTCCGACCCTAACCCCTGGCTCTGGTCACTGGAAGCAAATATTTACATTTGCAAAGTAAATTCCTTGCAGGAGACCTGGACTGGGGCTGGGAAGGCTGCCTCCCTATGGCCTGTGGTTACTAAACCGAGCAGAGCAGATCTCGGGGGTCGGTTGTGAACGAGGAAGCCCTTTGGCTCCTCTCCAGGGAGAGAATGTCATGAAGGTGGATCCCAGGGATACCCCCAGCTTTTCACACCCCGAATCCCCAACTTTTCACATCTCTAATCCCCAATTTAGGGCAAGATTGGAATCCCAGCCCCCCTCGTCCCACTGCAAGGACAGAGCGGAAGCCTCTCCTCTCTGGACCTCAGTGTTCTGTGTCATGAGGTGTCATGAGGGTCCTGAGAAGGGGCACAAAGCTTCTTAGCTCAGGCCTGGCACTGGGCAGAGGGAAGAAGAGCTGCTTATGGGGCCCAGGGCTAGAAACTACAGGCAACACTGGCCGTGTGGAGGTCAAGATGTGGAGGTCAAGACAGGGAGTGATGAGCTTCGAAGGGGCTTTGACACTGGGAGGTGTACTGGCCTGTTTGGGAAGGCTTCCTGGAGGAGGTGACATGGGTGCAGCAGCTGTAGAGATTAGGGGAGGGCATGGGGTGGGAACGTGTGTGTGTGTGTGTGTGTGTGTGTGTGTGTGTGTGTGTGTGTGTGTGTGTGTGTGTAGGGCACGTGAGGGCCTCCCAGATGGTGGGAAGTGGCCCACAGTCAGGCTCCCAGAGTGGAGCTGGGGTTTGTGGTCCTGGGACCAGCCTTCAGGGCCCCCCTGAGAGGACAAGGTTGAGGCTAGGGAGGAGCCCTTCAGTAGGAACCACCAGGCTGAGGTGAGGAGGGTCTCAGCTCATGGGGGCCTGTTTCAGGGCCTTTGACCAAACACCAATGGGAGGGATATGACATTTTGTTTTGTTTTATTTTGTTTTGTTCTGTGTTTTTGAGAAGGAGTCTTGCTCTGTCGCCCAGGCTGGAGTGCAGTGGCGCGATCTCGGCTCACTGCAAGCTCCGTCTCCTGGGTTCACGCCATTCTCCTGCCTCAGCCTCCCGCGTAGCTGGGACTACAGGCGTCTGCCACCACACCTGGCTAATTTTTTGTATTTTTAGTAGAGATGGGCTTTCACCATGTTAGCCAGGATGGTCTCGATCTCCTGACCTCATGATCTGCTCACCTCGGCCTCCCAAAGTGCTGGGATTACAGGAGTGAGCCACCACGCCCGGCCAGGATATGACATTTTGTCCAACAGCAGATCTCCCCACAACCTGTGGCTTCTTCCTTACTGGAATTTTGTGTGCTACAGGGTCGTTTTACAACCTGCTACATCCCTTAAAATGTTTCTGTCCATTTCTCAGAATTTTGGGGGAGTTTTTGGATAACTTTTTGTGAATCTTGAATCCAAAGCCAAAATTTTCTGGTCTTTTGAACAGTTTTGTTATTTCTTTAAACTCTTTTCTTTTTTTAATTTAAATTTGCAATTACTTTGAGCATTTGATGTCTATGCTGCTGGTCAGACCATGTTTTTATTTGTTTTCCTAATTCTTTCTGGTCCCTGGAGAAACGCTGAAAACAAACTGGTTGAAAAAGAATTTCCAACCACAAGTTTACAGATTAATAACTCAGGGACACTCTAGTGTGACATTAAAACATTTATGCTGATTTTATTATTTTTTTTAGATAGGGTCTCACTCTTTCAGTGCAGTGGCACAATCACAGCTCACTGCAACCTCGACCTTCCAAGTTCAAGCTATCCTCCCGTATCAGTCTCCCAAGTAGCTGGGACTACAGGCATGCGCCACCATACCCAGCTAATTTTTAAATTTTTTGTAGAGACAGAGTTTTGCCATGTTACCCAGGCTGGTGTCAAACTCCTGGGCTCAAGCAATCTGCCCACTTCAGCCTCCCAAAGTGCTAGGATTACAGGTGTGAGCCACTGCGCCTGGCCCATTTATGCTGACTTTTTTTTTTTTTTTTTTTGAGGAGTCTCACTTTGTCACCCAGGCTGGAGTGCAGTGGTGCAATTTCAGCTCACTGCAACCTCCGCTCCCAGGTTCAAGCGATTCTCCTGCCTCAGCCTCCCAAGTAGCTGGGATTACAGGCACGCATCGCCACCCCCAGCTAATTTTTGTATTTTTAGTAGAGACAGGGTTTTGCCATGTTGGCCAGGCCGGTCTCGGACTCCTGACCTCAGGTGATCCACCCTCCTCGGCTTCCCAAAGTGCTGGGATTACAGGCGTGAGCCACTGTGCCTGGCCTATGTTGACTTTCAAGACAGTTGTTTCTGCCTTATATTTGGTTTGCTTGCTCAAAATTTATTTTCAGTTGGTGATTCATGTATTCATCAACAAAAGTTTTATACATGGCCGGGCGCGATGGCTTATGCCTATAATCCCAGCACTTTGGGAGGCCAAGGCGGGTGGATCACGAGGTCGGGAGATGGAGACCATCCTGGCTAATACGGTGAAACCCCACCTCTACTAAAAATATCAAAAATTAGCTGGGCATTGTGGCACGCTCCTGTTGTCCCAACTACTCTGGAGGCTGAGGAAGGAGAATCGCTTGAACCCAGGAGGCGGAGGTTGCAGTGAGCCGAGATTGCACCACTGCACTCCAGTCTGGGTGACAGAGCGAGACTCCGTCTCAAAAAAAAAAGAAGTTTTATACATGAGGCCCATGAGGTCCTACTGGGTGCTGGGCACTTTTGTAGGCCAAGCACAAAACAGACAAGGTCCCTGCCCTAGTGGGGCTGATGTTCCAGCCAGGAGGCCAGATGACAGGCAGTGGCCTGGGAAACTGGAGCAGTTAATAACACGCTAGAAGGTAGATAATGCAATGGGAAAAAAAAGAAAACAACAGCAGAGTAGAGGGGAGGGCAGAAGCAGGTGGGGGGAGCAGCCGAAGCTTCATCACAGAGGAAACTCAAATATCCCCAGGTTGCAAGAGATGGCCGCTTCTTTTGGTCAACTTCTCAAAAAGAGTACTAAAATGACATCACATCTCCACCTGGAAGCAGAAAGAATGAAGAGGGCTTGGTGAGACTGTTCTTCTCAGGCACCAGCGCTCCTGCTGAACATTGAGCCTCCCTGCCAGGTGCCCCCCACCTCCACCAACCAAAAAAAGAAATCTGGCCCTGGAATCAGGCAGACCTGTGTTCAAATCCAGGCTTGGGACTGTCCCGTGGACAACTGATGCCGAGTTGCCTCTCTTCTCTGCCTCATTTCCTCCTAGCGGGGAAGTGGAGCTGAGCTTCATTCTCTCATCCACCTTTATCTGAGCATGGGTGACAGAGAAGAGGTAGCACAGAGCTGCCCTGTGCCTCAGTTTCCCTACCTGGAAAGTGGAGGTGAATTGGAGGTGATACTAGCACCCACTCACAGTTAAGACTATGTATGTGAAGTGCTTAGATGGTGCCAGGGCCAGGGTAAATGCTAAACAAGAGTTGTCTGTTCTGATTATCACCTTCCTTGTAGGATTGAGCCAGGCTATACAAGGTCCTTCACATGAGCATGGTTCACAGTGATGTCTCCCCTCCCCAGGGAGTCCCCAGTGCCGGCCCCAGTCCTGGGCTGGCAACCCACCTTCCTCCATCCTGGGTGAGATTAGCCCCCTGTGCCTGGGCAAGTCACAGGCCCTTGAGGAGGGTATGCTGGGGATGCAGGCTCAGCACGAGTGAAGGCCCCACAATGGGACCCAGAGCAGGGCCTGGCAGCCTCCGCTGGGGGCTGGCCAGAGGGACCCGTCTGGTTTGAGTTCCCGGCGCCTCTCGCTCCCTGCATCAACCCACAGCCCCGCTCCGAGCTGCCAGGCCCGCGCCTTATTTGGGTCTTGTCTCCTCCCAGACAACATTTCGTGGCCTTAAAAGGAAGGCCTGGGGGGCTGAGGGGGGCAGTTGCCAGTGCTGGCTCCACAGCCTCTCCAGCTATGCCCCCGCCCCTGGTTTGGCCAGTCCATCCCTCCAGCTGTGGAGAAAACCAGTCCCCCAAAACCAGACCAGCCAGGGCGGCTGGGGAGGGTGAGGGGGGTTCTCCTCCGGTAGGGGTGGCAGCAGGGGTTGGCCCTGGAACTGGCTCCCCTTGCCCTCCCAGGCAGCCAGCCTCCCTCTGGTTTTCATTTAAAACCAGGGCTGAATCCACTTCAGTCTCCTCTTACCAAGCCAGGCAGCAAGAGTGTGGATGGCGACAGCCACGGCGGCCATTTATTGAGCACCTACTGTGTGTGCCAGTCCCTGTGTGTGCACAGTGGGCCCTTTGCATTCATGGCCGACCTCAGGCCTCACCCCAGCCTGGGAGGTTTAGAGGCCTTAGAATCCCATTTTACAGATGGGAAAATAAGTCCAGAGAGGACAAGTCATGCAGGGCAGTAAGTGTCAGGGCTCGGACCCAGGCTTGTCTGAGCGCTAACCTCTTAGCCCATGAGGCTGGTTGGGGTCATTGGGGAAGCCCTCAGCCTCATCTATGGCCCCCGCCCCATTGCCAGCCCCTCTTTCCAGCCCTATCAGGTGGCCAGCCTTGCTCTAGCTCAGCCCAGTTCATGCTGTTTGACCCAGATACATTGCCTCTCCTCTGGGCCTCTGTGTCCTACGCTGAGGGCAGTAGGGGTCCCTGCTGGGGCTACAGTGGTGGGCAGGGGGGCCTGAGGAGGCAAGGATCACATGCCAGCAGGGCTCTCACCCTCCATCCCTTAGTTGCAGCTTCCTCTGCCTCCTTGGAGCCCATGTGGTCGGGCAGTACCATGCGGCGGATGGCGCTTCGGCCCACAGCCTTCTCAGGTGGGTCCTGGGATAGCTTCTTGAGGTCCCCCTGGGCTGAGGGAGCCCTGGAGGGGGCTCAGGGCAGTTTGGTAACTGTCCTAAAAGCCAGTAGGTCTGG
The DNA here is from genome assembly GCF_000001405.40 of Homo sapiens. Classification (NCBI taxonomy): domain Eukaryota; kingdom Metazoa; phylum Chordata; class Mammalia; order Primates; family Hominidae; genus Homo; species Homo sapiens. Next base: position 29,225,317 of record NC_000022.11, read on the forward strand.
CAGTGGAGGGTCAAGGACAGTAACTATCTTCCCACCCCATGCTCCCCAGGCTACAAAAGTTGCTTCAAGGGGCACAGAAAGGACCCTAGAGGGTCATCTGACCTGGGCCCAGACACCCTGAGACCCATGACCCCTGGACTCTTGCAGATGCCAGTTCAATCCCCCATTTCCCCTTTTTATTTAATCAGCACTTTTCTGAGCATCAGCAGTGCTGGAGGCCCTGTGCCAGGCGCTTCCCATCAGCAGCTCGTTTAGACCTCACAGCTGTTCACTGCCCGCCCATTGTCCCCTTTTTAAAGAGGAGGAAGCTGAAGGTCTCCGACCTCCCTGCCCTGCCCCGCCCCAGGCCCCACAGCCAGGAGTGGGGGCAGCACCAGGACTAGACCCCAGATGTTGTGCTAGTTAGGCACTCACCCCTTCCTGCTCTGAGCCGTGTCCTCAGGTGTGAACAGGGGTGACACTCCCGTGAGGAGGGGAGAGACTGCTGGCATAGCACTTGGCTGGGCCAGCAGCTGGGAGGCTCTGTAAATGTCCACAGCTGCTGTGAATGACTCATGTCATTCTCGTGAGTCTCAGCCAGGCGGCCGGGGGAGCGGTGCTGGATGGTGGGTCAGGGGAGGCTCAGAGGTTGGGACCTTTGAGGCCAGCCCAGTCCAGACTGCGCTGGGTGGGTCCCCAAAGCCGGCAAGCCCTGGCCCCAGCCCTGCCCAGGCAGGAAGCAACAGGATCTTTCCAGAGAGGACAAGTCACGCGGGACAGTAAGTGTCGAGGCTCAGACCCAGGCTTGTCTGAGCTCTAAACTCTTAGCCCATGAGGCTGGCTGGGGTCGCTGGAGAAGTCCTCAGCCTCATCCATGGCCCCCGCCCCATTGCCATTTCTTGGCTTCTGGGAAAAGGGTCATTTTGGACACAGAGGCTGCCAGGGGTCAGGTCCCTGGTCCTGCTGCCGGAGAAGCAGGCCACTCTGGAGGCTCCAGTGCCAAAAGGAACCCATAGGGTGAGGTCCCCCTGGACCCACTGTGATCCTATAGCCCTTCCCAAGCCTAAGGTCCCTCGTGGGTTGGGGTCATCAGGTATCTGACGCTTTCCTCCATCCCAACCCCCAGAGACTGAAGGGTTCTGAGGGGAAGCCTAGGACCCTTGGCCCTGGCCCCAGCTTCCTCCCTCCCCGCAGGTTGTCTCAACTGCAGCAAAGTGTCAGAGCTGACAGAGCGGCTGAAGGTGCTGGAGGCCAAGGTGGGTGAGCAGCTCCCTCCTGGGTGGTTGTTCCCTGCCACAGGCCAGTCCAGGCAACCACCATCCCACCCTCCCCACCTCCTTCCCCGCACCCCATGCTCGCACCCTCAGTGAACCCACAGGGCAGCTCTGAACTGACTCGGCGAGCAGCATCCCCTGTCAGGCATGTCATGGTCTCCTCCAGTGTCCCTCCCTAGGAAGCCTGCTCACAGGTCGTGCCTCAGTTTTCCCACCTGTCAAGCGGAGGGGATACTAGCATCCACTCAGGGAAAACTGTATATGTGAAGCGCAAGTCACAGCCAGCCTGGCCTGTTCTTCCTCCAGGAGGCCTGTGAGCTCCCTCCCATGGGGCTCCATCACCATCCCCACCAGATCAGCATAGACACTGCCCAGAGATCCTGGTAGGATCTCCTGCCTGCCCCTGCCCCATCCCCTTTCTCTATCCCCCCAACCCCCATCCATAATACTATCTTCCTGGTTTCAAAAACAAAACATCTATCACACATCTCAAATTATTTCAAGATAAAATGTTGTGTATTTTTTGTTTTGTTTTGTTTGAAACAGGGTCTTCCTCTGTTGCCCAGGCTGGAGTGCAGTGGCGAGATCTCAGCTCACTGCAACCTATGCCTCCTGGGCTCAAATGATCCTCCCACCTCAGCCTCCTGAGTAGCTGGGACCATAGGTGAACAATACCACATCCAGCTAATTTTTAAATTTTTGGTAGAGATGGGGTTTCTCCATGTTGCCCAGGCTGGTCTTGAACTTCTAAGCTCAAGCAATTCACTGTCTTGGCCTCCCAAAGTGCTGGGATTACAGGTGTGAGCCGCTGCGCTGCCATAAAACTTTTTTTTTTTTTTAAATTAAAAAGTACTGCTTGGCGCAGCGGCTCACACCTGTAATCTCCATACTTTAGGAGGCCGAGGCAGGTGGATTGCTTGAGGCCAAGAGTTCGAGACCATTCTGGCCAACATGGCATAACCCTGTCTCTTTTAAAAATACAAAAATTAGCCTGGCATGGTGGCACACACCCATAATCCCAGCTACAAAGGAGGCTGAGGCTTGAGGATCACTTGAACCTGGGAGGTGGAGGTTGTAGTGAGCCAAGATTGCGCCACTGTATTCCAGCCTGGGTAACAGAGCGAGACTCTGTCTCAAAAAAAAAAAAAAAAAAAAAAACAAATTAGGCCAGGCGCAGTGGCTCATGCCTGTAATCTCAGCATTTGAGAGGCCGAGCCGGGTGGATCACAAGGTCAGGAGTTCAAGACCAGCCTGGCTAAGATGGTGAAACCTCATCTTTACTAAAAATACAAAAAATTAGCCGGGGCCGAGTGCCGTGGCTCACGCCTGTAATCACAGCACTTTGGGAGGTCAAGGAGGGCGGATCACCTGAGGTCAAGAGTTCAAGACCAGCCTGACCAACTTGGAGAAACCCCATCTCTACTAAAAATACAAAAATTAGCCGGGCATGGTGGCGCATGCCTGTAATCCCAGCTACTCGGGAGGCTGAGGCAGGAGAATCGCTTGAACCCGGGAGGCAGAGGTTGCAGTGAGCCGAGATTGTGCCATTGCACTCCAGCCTGGGCAACAAGAACGAAACTCCATCTCAAAAAAAAAAAAAAAAAAAAATGAGCCGAGTGTGGTGGCAGGTACCTGTAATCCCAGCTACTTGGGAGGCTGAGGCAGAGAATTGCTTGAACCCAGGAGGCAGAGGTTGCAGTGAGCCGAGATTGCACCACTGCTCTCCACCCTGGACGACAGAGCGAGACTCCGTCTCAAGAAAAAAAAAAGTAATTAATTAATTAATTTAAATTAAAAAGTACAACATTCTAAATTTAGAAACATGAAAAATTCAGAAATGTGAAAAAACAGCCAGCAAACCATTCACAGCAGTTGCCCATGCCCCCAAAGAATGCAACTGTCGACACTTAAGCATCCTTTCTTCCAGATTTTCTAAACACACAGACATGCATACACTTTAGTGCCATTCTTTGCTCCATCATTCCCTTCTCTGGAAATTTATCTTTTGTTTGTTCGTTTTGTTTTGATTCAGAAACAGGGTCTTGCTCTGTCACCCAGGCTGGAGTGCAGGCATTGCAATCTGCCGTGAGTTGGAGCTCACTGCAGCCTCCAATTCCTGGGCTCAAGCTATCCTCCTGCCCCAACCTCCTGAGTAGCTGGCATTACGGACATGTGCCACCACACCTGGCTAGTTTAAAAAACTTTTTTTAGAGCTGGGGTCTTGCTATGTTTCCTAAACTGGTCCTGAACTCTTGGCCTCAAGGAATCCTCCTGCCTCAGCCTCCAGGAGTGTTGGGATTACAGATGTGAGCCATTGTGCCCAGCCTGGGAACTTAATGAGATTATCAGATGCAAAAATGTTTACCAATAGAGAAATTTGAAAACCAGGCAAAAGAAGGCATGGTTGTATAATTGTGGAGAATTCATTCTATGGGGCATTCAGCAGCCATTTACAATACTTCCCTTCCCTAATATGAAAAGATTTCTCTAGGCTGGGCATGGTGGCTCACACCTGTAATCCCAGCACTTTGGAAGGCCGAAGCAGGAGGATTGCTTGAGGCCTGGAGCCCGAGACCAGCCTGGGCAACATAGCAAGACTCCATCTCTACAAAAAATTAGCTAGGCTTAGTGGCACACAGCTGGCACACAGTCCCAGCTGCTTAAGAGGCTGAGGCAGGAGGATCACTTGAGCTCAGACGGACAAGGCTGCAGTGAGTCGTGATAGCACCACTGCACTCTAGCCTGGACGGCAGAGCTAGACCCTGTCTCTAAAATTAAAAAAAAGAAGATGCCGCTGGGCGCGGTGGCTCATGCCTGTAATCCCAGCACTTTGGGAAGCTGAGGCGGGCGGATCACATGAGGTCAGGAGTTCGAGACCAGCCTGACCAACATGGAGAAACCCCATCTCTACTAAAAGTACAAAATTAGCCAGGCTTGGTGGCGCATGCCTGTAATCTCAGCTACTAGGGAGGCCGAGGCAGGAGAATTGCTTGAACCTGGGAGGCGGAGGTTGCGGTGAGCCAAGATCACGCCATTGCACTCCAGCCTGGGCAACAAGAGCAAAACTCCACCTCAAAAAAAAAAAAAAAAGAAGATGCCCCTGATTTATCAAATGGGAAAACCAAGCTTCCAAATAGCGTGTGCTGGCACCTGAGTTACAAGGCACGGGGTTCCAGGAGCAGTTCCCTGAGCTCCCTCCCAGGAGAAGCCCATGTAAGAGGCAACTCAGTCCCACATCTTGATGGGAATTCCTGGTTCAGGATCTGCCAGAGAGTTTCAGCTTTTCTCTGGACAGGCCCCCACGATCCCTGAGCCCCTGATCTGTGGTCATCTGGCCTTTCGTTGGTCCTCAGCAGCTGAGGGGACACTTCCAGCTTCCCAGAGTCTTCCTCACCATGGGCCCAAAAGTGGACTTTGTGTACACCTCCAGGTTTCTATTTCATGTCAGACTCTTCCAAACTTCCTTCCAAATTTAGTGAAAGGCCGGGAGTGGTGGCTCACGCCTGTAATCCCAACACTTTGGGAGGCTGAGATAAGCAGATCACTTCAGGTCAGGAGTTTGAGACCAGCCTGGCCAATGTGGTCAAACCCCATCTCTACTAAAAATACAAAAATTAGCTAGGTGTGGTGGCGCATGACTGTAATCCCAGTTACTCTGGAGGCTGAGGCAGGAGAATCACTTGAACCCGGGAGGCGGAGGTTGCAGTGAGCCGAGATCGTGCCACTACACTCCAGCCTGGGCAACAGAGCAAGGCTCTCCATCTTGGAAAAAAAAAAAACAAAAAAACAAACTAAGTGAAACTCTTCCAGCCATACCCTGTGGTGCTTTAAGAAATCAAGACAAGCTTCTTATTTGGATAACCATAGAGAAAAAGCACATGGCCCAGCAAGCACCGCGACAGTCACAAAGCTCAACTTTGATGGCAATGATGGTGTCAGTGACTTTTCCATAATGCGTGTTATGAATTGTGTGCTTTGAAAAACACTGTCACTTCTGATGAAGTTCGGTGCCCCTGCGAGCCTGGGGCTCCACTCCAAGCTGGGCCCTGCTGGCCATGTGCCTCCTGCCTCCCACACCAGGCCCCTTGGCTGGCCTGTCCGTGGTGAGACCCTGGCTCATGCCTGTAATCCCAACACTTTGGGAGGCTGAGGCAAGATGATTGCTTGAGCCCAGGAGTTCAAGACCAGCCTGGGCAACATAGCGAGACCTCGTCTCTACAAATAATTTTTTTTTAAATTTGCCATGTGTGGTGGTGCATCCCTGTGGTCCCAGCTACTTGGAAGGCTGAGGCAGAAGGATCGCTTAAGCCCGGGTGGTTGAGGCTGCATGAGCCGTCATAGTACTACTGCATTCTAGCCTGGGCAACAGAGCAAAACTCCATCTCAAAAAAAATAGGGAGGGGTCCTAGTGAGACCCTGGTACCCACCCCGTCCCTGTCTTCCTCTTCAGATGACCATGCTGACTGTCATAGAGCAGCCAGTACCTCCAACACCAGCTACCCCTGAGGACCCTGCCCCGCTCTGGGGTCCCCCTCCTGCCCAGGGCAGCCCCGGAGATGGAGGCCTCCAGGGTGAGTGTCAGACTCAGACTCCCCTGTGGGAATGAGCAGTGGGTTGGGAATCGGGGAAGTGGGATTCTGGTCCCCACCCTGTCGCTGACTCCCAACTTAACCCTCTAGTGGGCCTCAGTCTTCCCATTTCCCGTTTCTTAGACCCGCCTAAGAGGACCGTCTCCTGGGACTCCTGAATGCTGCAGTCCCTGGAGACCAAGCAGCCCCAGCAGACCCTGCCTGGAGGTCGGGGGGAGCTGGGAGTGGGGATTCTGGATGAGCCTCCCTCCTCCAGGCCCAGCAGGGACACTGACCTCTGCCTACCCCCCCCACCCCAGGGCTGCCAGGAGCCATAGAGAGTGTGAGGGTCCCGCTGCTTCCCCGAAATGGTAGATGCTGGTTGGGGGGCTGGGGCCAGGGTGGGGGTCAAGAGCAGATGTGGAGCTGCCAGTCTGATATGCTTTACCCCCCAGACCAAGTCGGTGCTTGGGGGCTTCCCGGGCCCACCGGCCCCAAGGGAGATGCCGGCAGTCGGGGCCCAATGGGGATGAGAGGCCCACCAGGTGAGTGCCCGCAATGCTGCCCCACAGCTCCTCTGGCCATCCCCTCCACCAGGTGGGCCCTTCCCTGCTCCTGACATGGCCAGGATGACCTGGGCCCTTTCATCTACTTGCCTCTTCACTCAGCACCCCACCACGGAGTGCCCTGCCCACGCCTGGGCTCCATGAAGTCCTCTCTTATGTTCACTGACCCACATTCCCTGGGCACCTACACTTATCAGGCTCTGAGCTGGGCACTGGGTGGGGTCAGACATGTCCCTGCCCTTCTGGAGCTTCCATGCTGCTGGGAGCAGGGCTGGGCAGAGGAGAAGCAGCAATGCTTGCCCCATGTGACCAGGGTTTCTATGAGGGGTTTTGGGGGTTTGGGAGCCCCAAGGAAGGAAGACTCAGCCTGGACGAGGTGGAGAACTAGGTGCTGTGCTCATCCCCCTGTTAGACTACCAGGCAGCCTAGGCCTGTGGACTCCGGGGCCCTCTCTCATGCCCACTGCTCCAGGCTGCCTTGTCCTGTCGCTCAAGGCCACCCTGGGCCTCCTTGCCTCCTGTATACCCACAAATCCGTGTGATTCCATTGCAGGTCCACAGGGCCCCCCAGGGAGCCCTGGCCGGGCTGGAGCTGTGGGCACCCCTGGAGAGAGGGGACCTCCTGGGCCACCAGGGCCTCCTGGCCCCCCTGGGCCCCCAGCCCCTGTTGGGCCACCCCATGCCCGGATCTCCCAGCATGGTGAGTCCCCCTGGGATCCCAGCAGGTGGAGGTGGGGGTGGAGTAGCCATCAGCACAGTGCCCGCTACCATCTGCCACGTGCCTTCTGTGTGCCAGCCCTGCTCACGATAGGCCACATGTGACCCAGTCCTCCAGCAGGCGCCGTTGTCCTCCTGTGGTTACAGGTGAGGAACACTGAGGACCAGAGAGGGAAGGTGGCTTGCCAGGGTCCCACAGCCTGGGCGTAGGGGAACGGCTTCAAACCCAGGCTGCCTCCAGAACCTGTGCTTAGAGCCACCGGGCATCAGGCCCTCCCAAGCCTTGGAACTGGCTGGAATCCAGTTCTCGGAACACTGGGACGCAAAAGACCCGGCGGCAGGAAGTGAGTCCTGAACTCCCAAGGCCACAGGCCCGGCCCCTCCTCCAGGCCCTGACGTGCGTCCTTGGCTTCTTCCCTTTGGCAGCCCAGCCTGACCTGCCCATGGGCTGCCAGGGGTCAGAGTGTGGAGCGCCAGGTTTCAGCCTCTTCTCCACTGTGTTTTTGGTGCACAACCCAGCACACCATTCATTCATTCTGCCATCCCAGCATTCATTCCATCTCACTATCCATACGATGGGGACAATGACAGTGCCAGCCTCCCAGAGCTGCGTAACATCCATGTACAGAAGCCTGGCACACAGTAGGTGGTGGATAAATGGTATCTTTTATTGTCATTCCCATTTGACAGGTGACAGTACAGGCTCTGAAAAGTAGAAAGTGTTGCTGGATGTCACCAGCTGGATTGCAGTGGGGTTAGAACCCACATCTCCCTGCCTCCTGGTCTTGCGGGACCAACACTCTCCACACTCCTCACCCTGGAGCAGGTGCCCAGGTGGTACCAGCCATGCTGCAGGCTGCCCCATAGGGCAGTCCAAGCTGTCTTGGCAGAGGTGGCAGGTGAAGACTAACCACCCCACTCTACCCAGCTCTACTCACTCATCATCTTTGCTCACCCAGGAGACCCATTGCTGTCCAACACCTTCACTGAGACCAACAACCACTGGCCCCAGGGACCCACTGGGCCTCCAGGCCCTCCAGGGCCCATGGGTAAGTTGAGTCCAGGCCAGGGGTAAAGGGTGAAGTTGGTAGATGGCAGAGGGAATAGGGTTTGTGGCTATCAGGAGGGAGCTGATGGGGCACTTCCTGAGATTGTACTTTGTTCCGGCCCTTAGGACATCCTGTCTTTTTCCAGGTCCCCCTGGGCCTCCTGGCCCCACAGGTGTCCCTGGGAGTCCTGGTCACATAGTGAGTAGTTCTCCTTGTACTCTCACCCATGTGTCTGTCCATCTTTCCATCTATGCATACATCCATACATCTGTCCATCATCCACCCTTGTATCCATCTATCCATCCATCCATTCATCCTTCCATTCATTCATTCAACAAGTATTTATTGAGCACTTAATATGCAAACTACCTTCCATAAATCTTATTCAATCCAAGTAATGAGAACCATGTGTGGTTATCACCTAAGACCAAGAAAAGTAGAGATTCTTGTGCCAGCACATGGCAATGAGCTGTGGTGGGACTGTCTGACTCCAGGATCAGATCTTTTAACACTGAGCTGTATGAACTGACTGCGGTGTGCTGGGTGTATGGTGAAGAACCCAGAGGCCCAGACCAAGCTTGAGCGCCCTCCCCAACACCTCTGTTCCCAAGCCCCTGCCCACTCCATCCTGCCCCAACACAAGGCTGAGGCCCTGTCTTGTTGCTCAGGGACCCCCAGGCCCCACTGGACCCAAAGGAATCTCTGGCCACCCAGGAGAGAAGGGCGAGAGAGTGAGTACCCAGGTGGCCCCAGGTGGGGGAATTCTGGGGAGTCCTGAGGGCCCCAGGTCAGAGTCCTCAACAGCTGACGCCATTCGTCTCCTCCCTCTTACACAGGGACTGCGTGGGGAGCCTGGCCCCCAAGGCTCTGCTGGGCAGCGGGTAAGTGTTGCTGTCTGTCCCGCATTCATCCCTGCAGGATCCCTTAGTCCCAGATTCCTCCTGTGACTCCATCCCCTGCAACCAGAGCTTCTAACCCTCCCTGTCTTGTCATTTATTTTCAGATGCTCCCTGTCTCTGAGACTCATTGTCCTCTTTGGATTAGGCTGCCTCTGTCTCTCTCACTCTGGCTCTCTGTTTCTCTGTATCTCTCTCTTTCCCTCTGTACGTCTGTCTCTTTGACTCTGTATTTCATTTACACTCTATCTCTCCAATTCTGATTGTAGATCTGTTCATTTCTCTCTTTAATTTGGTGAATTTTGCTTTACGTATTTTGAGTCTTTGTTATTAGGTGCATTCACATTTAGTATTTTAATGTCTCCTTGGTCATTTTATCTTTATGAAATTAATATCTTTATCTCTGATAATACTTGCCTTGAATCGACTTTGTGTGCTTTTAATAGCACACCAGCTTTCTTATGCTTGCTATTTGCATGTTATATCTTTTTTTATCCTTTTTTTTTTCAACCTGTAACTTTATATTTAAAGTGCATCATGGCTGGGTGTGGTGGCTCACACCTGTAATCCCAGCACTGTGGGAGGCCGAGGAAGGTGGATCGTTTGAGCTCAGGAGTTCAAGACCAGCTTGGGCAACATGACAAAACTCTGTCTTTATATAAAAATATGTATATAAATTTTATTAAATGTAAGAAAGTGTGGACCGGGCACGGTGGCTTACGCCTGTAATCCTAGCACTTTGGGGGGCTGAGACGGGTGGATCACCTGAGGTCAGAAGTTCAAGACCAGCCTGGTCAACATGGTGAAACCCCGTCTCTACTAAATATACAAAAATTAGCCAGGCATGGTGGTAGGCACCTGTAATCCCAGCTACTCGGGAGGCTGAGGCAGAAGAATTGCTTGAACCCAGGAGGCAGAGGTTGCAGTGAGCTGAGATCACACCATTGTGCTCCAGCCTGGGCAATAAGAGTGAGACTTCATCTCAAAAAAAAAAAAAAAAAAAAGTGCATCATATGACTTGGGTCTTGCTGTTTAAAAACAGTTTGACTGTTTAGTTAATTTATATTTAATGATATGTATAATTGATTAATATGGTTCTGTTTAGCCATCTTGCTGTTTATGTTCTATTTATTCCTTCTGTTTTGTGTTTCTTTTTTCCCTTTTCTTTTCTTGTCTTCTTTTGGATTGAGTACTTTTTATGATTTCTTTTTTCTTTTTTAGAGACAGGGTTTCCCTATGTGCCTAGGCTGAACTCAAACTCCTGGGCACATAGTGAATGAAGTGTCTTAAGTGATCTTCTTGCCTCAGCCTCCCAAGTATCTGGGACTACAGGTGTGCACCATTGTGCCTGACTTAAAATCTTCTCTTTCTAAAATTAATTTTCTTTCTAGAATTAAAGCTTTCTAGAATTTAAGCTTTTTTTTTTTTTTTTTTTTTTTTTTTGATACAGGGTCTTTCTCTGTCACCCAGGTTGGAGTGCAGTGGTGCAATCATAGCTCACTGTAGCCCCAACCTCCCTGGCTCAGGCAATCCTCACACCTCAGCCTCCTGAGTAGCTGGGACCACAGGCATGTACCACCATGCCCAGTTAACTTCTATTCCTTTACATTTAATCTGTTTTGTGGTTATATTTAAAGTCAGTTTCTTATAGAAAACCTACGGTTAGGTCTTATTTTTTGGTCCATTCTAACAATCCTCATCTTTTATTTGCTGCATTTAGGCCATTGACATTTAAAGTGATTATTGAGGCCCAGCATAGTGGCCCACACCTGTAATTCCAGCACTTCAGGAGGCCAAGGCAGGAGGATCACTTGAAATCAGGAGTTTGAGACTAGAGTGGGCAACAAAATGAGACCCTTTTTCTATAAAACAAATTTAAAAATTGGCTGGACGTGGTAGTGTGCACCTGTAGATTCAGCTACCTGAGAGGCTGAGCTGGGAGGATTGCTTGAGCCCAGGAGTTTAAGGTGACAGTTATAATTGCTTTACTGCATTCCAGCCTGAGTGACAGAACCAGACCTTGCCTCTAAAACATAACTAAATAGTCTGTGCACGGTGGCTCACACCTGTAATCCTGGCACTTTGGGAGGTGGAGGCAGGGGGATCACCTGAGGTCAGGAGTTTGAGACCAGCCTGGCCAACATGGTGAAACCCCGTCTCTACTAAAAACACAAAAATTAGCCAGGTATGGTGGCGCACTCCTGTAATCCCAGCTACTCAGGAGGCTGAGGCAGGAGAATTGCTTGAACCTGGGAGGCGGAGGTTGCAGTGGGCCAAGATTGTGCCACTGCACTCCAGCCTGGGCGACAGAGTGAGACTCCATCTCAAAAAAATAAGTCAATCAGTAAAATAAAAAATAACTAAATAAATGAAGTGTTATTTATATAGTTGGGTTAACAGCTACCATATTACTATTTTCTTTCTTTTTTTTCTTTTTTTTTTTATTTTTTGAGGCAGAGTCTTGCTCTGTCGCCCAGGCTGGAGTCTAGTGGCTGGATCTCGGCTCACTACAAGCTCCGCCTCCCGGGATCAAGCAATTCTCCTGCCTCAGCCTCCCAAGTAGCTGGGACTACAGGCGCCCACCACCATACCTGGCTAATTTTTGTATTTTTAGTAGAGATGGGGTTTCACCATCTTGGCCAGACTGGTCTTGAACTTCTAACTTTGTGATCTACCGGCCTTGGCCTCCCAAAGTGCTGGAATTACGGGTGTGAGCCACCTCGCCCAGCTACTATTTTCTATTTGTTTTCCTTGTTCTTTGTTCCTATTTTTGTCTGCCAGACTTTTTCTGCCTTTTTTTGGCTTTATTTATTTATTTACTTACTTATTTTCTTTTGAGAGAGAGTCTTGCTCTGTCACCCAGGCTGTAGTGCAGTGGTGTGATCTCTGCTACTGCAACCTCTGCCTCTTGGGTTCAAGCAATTCTCTGCCTCAGCCTCCTGAATAGCTGGGACTACAGGCACCTGCCACCCTGCCTGGCTAATTTTTATATTTTTAGTAGAGACAGGGTTTCACCATGTTGGCCAGACTGGTCTCAAACTCCTGACCTCAGGTGATCCACCCACCTCAGCCTCCCAGAGTGCTGGGGTTACAGGTGTGAGCCACCATGCCCGGCCATGCTCCTCCTTTCTTTATGTAAAATCTGAGTTTCTGGCCAGGCACGGTGGCTCACGCCTATAATCCCAGCACTTTGGGAGGCCGAGGTGGGCAGATCATGAGGTCAGGAGATGGAGACCATCCTGGTGAACACGGTGAAACCCCGTCTCTACTAAAAATACAAAAAAAATGTAGCTGGGCGTGCTGGCAGGTGCCTGTAGTCCCAGCTACTTGGGAGGCTGAGGCAGGAGAATGGCATGAACCTGGGGGATGGAGCTTGCAGTGAGTGGAGATCGCGCCACTGCACTGCAGCCTGGGCAACAGAGCGAGACTCCGTTTCAAAAAAAACAAACAAAAAAAATCTGAGTTTCTGACACATAATTTTTGTCCTCTCTGAAGAACTACCTTTATTTTTTCCCAGTTGGCTTTATTTGTGATTCTAGAATCGGGCAACACTTCATTCCATAAAATAAAATAAGTGCTCCGCTGAAGAACTTCTTTTAATGTTTCCTACAAGGCAGATCTACTGACAAAAATTCCCTCACTGTTTGTTTGTCTGAAAGTCTTCATTTCCCTTTCATGCATGAAGGATAATTTTTCAGGGTAAAGAATTCTAGGTTGATGTGTTTTTTTCCTCTCAATACTTGGTATATTACTCTCCACTCTCTTGCTTGCATGGTTTCTGCAGAGTTGGTTGTAATTATTATTGTTGCTCCTCTGCAGGAAAGATATTTTTTCCCTCTGTTTTCTTTTCAGTATTTTTTTATCTTTGATTCTCTGAAGTTTTTCTAAAAATTATTATTATTATTATTATTATTATTATTATTATTATTATTATTATTAGAGATAAGGTCATACTCTGTCACCTCAGAAGCCTTGAGGCTTCTGGGCTCAAGGGATCCTCCCGCCTCCACCTCTCGAGTAGCTGGGACTACTGTCATGTGCCACACCTGGCTAATTTTTTTTTCTGTTTTGAGATGAAATCTCACTCTTGTCCCCAAGGCTGGAGTGCAATGGTGTGATCTTGGCTCACTGCAACCTCCGCTTCCTGGGTTCAAGCGATTCTCCTGCCTCAGCCTCCCAAATAGCTGGGATTACAGGCACCTGCCATCACGCCCGGCTAATTTTTTGTATTTTTAGTAGAGACAGGGTTTCACCATGTTGGCCAGGCTGGTCTCAAACTTCTGACCTCAGGTGATCCGCCCGCCTCGGCCTCCCAAAGTGGTGGGATTACAGGCGTGAGCCACCGTGCCCGGCCATTTTTTTTTTTTTTTTTTTTAATTTTAGAAGCAAGATCTCACTATGTTGCCCAGGCTGGTCTTTCTGACCTCTAGTGATCCTCTTGCCTTGGCCTCCCAAAGTGCTGGGATTACAGGTGTGAGCCACTGCACCCAGCCTGATTTTCTGAAATTTGGATATGATATGCCTACTTGTCATTTCTTGGCATTTATCCTATATGGTATTCCCTTATCTTCCTAGATCTGTGGTTTGGTGTCTGACATTTTTGGGGGGAAAATTCTGTCATTATTACTTCAAATATTGCTTGTGTTTCTTTCTCTTTTTTCCTTCTGGTATTCTATTATGCATATTTACATCTTTTGTAATTGTCCCACAATTCTTGGATATTCTGTTCTATTCTTTCAGCCTTTTTTCTCTTTGCATTTCAGTTTTGAAAGTTTCCATTGTCATATCATCAGGCTTAGAGATTCTTTCCTCAGCCATGTCCAGTCCACGAATAAGCCCATCAATGGCATTCTTTATTTCTGTTACAGTGCTTTTTATATCTACCACTTATTTTTAATTATTTCTTAGAATATCTTTTTTTTCTTTTAAAAAAAATTTTTTTTTAATGTAGAGGCAGGGTTTTACCATGTTACCCAGGCTGGTCTCAAACTCCTGAGTTTAAGCAGTCTACCCACCTCAGCCTCCCAAAGTGTTGGGATTACAGGCATGAGCCACCACGCCCAGGCCTTTCTTAGAATTTCCATCTCTCTGCTTATAATCCATCTCTTCTTGCATGTTGTCTACTTTTTCCATTAATTCCCTTAGCATGTTAATTGTAGATTTTTAAAATTCCTGGCCTGATAATCTGAACATTTCTGCCATAACTGATGCAGGTTCTGATGTTTGTTGAATCTCTTCAAACTGTGTTTTTGCCTTTTAGTATGCCTTGTAATTTTTCACTGGAAGGTAGACATAATGTACTGTGCAAAAGAACTGCAGTAGATAGGCCTTTAGTAATGTAGTGAGAAGGTATTGGGGAAGGGAAGTGTTCTGGAGTCCTATGATTAGATCTCAGTCTTTTTTTTTTTTTTGAGACAGAGTCTCACTCTGTCTCCCAGGCACTGGAGTGCAGTGGCTCGATCTTGGCTCACTGCAACCTCCACCTCCTGTGTTCAAGTGATTCTCGTGCATCAACCTCCCAAGCAGCTGGGACTACAGGCGCCTGCCACCACACCCAGCTAATCAACCTCCCAAGCAGCTGGGACTACAGGCGCCCGCCACCACACCCAGCTAATTTTTTTGTATTTTAGTAGAGATGAGCTTTCACCGTGTTGGCCAGGCTGGTCTTGAACTCCTGAGCTCAGGCAGTCCACCCATCTTGGCCTCCCAAAGTGCTAGGATTGTAGGTGTGAGCCACTGCACCTGGCCTAGGTCTCAGTCTTTAGATGAGCTTGTGCCCTTGGACTGTGAACTTCACCAGTGTGTCTCAGTTGTTGTTTTGTTTTGTTTTTGTTTGGGGGTTGTTTTGCCCCTTAGGTGGGACAGGTTATCTAGAGGGAGTTAGAGTTGGATATTTCCCTTCTTTCATGTGGAAACTAGAGGGAGCTGGAAGTGGGTATTTCGCTTCCTCCAGGTTGCTTAGTGTTGGGAGAAAAGCTGAGTGTTGGGAGGGAAGCTGAGGCAGGGCTTGCACGTCTGACATAATGTAAAAGAGTCTTGGAACATGTCTGGGGTCCAGGGTCAAGAACCCCTCGTGGCCTTTGGAACACCAAACTCTGTGCTAAAGGGTGGAAGGCTACCCTGCCACACCGTAATCTAAGCCCAGGGCATAAAACCCCTCGTGACTTGGATGGAATCCAGGGCTCAGGGCATAAAACCCCTCGTGGCCTCTGGAATGTGTCTAGACTTGCTGGCTCCTTGCTTCTAGCACTCCCATTACCTCAAGTAGCAGAACATGTTCCATATGCTTCAAAGAAAATGCTAAACTGTCACAGCTGTAAATCATGCGCTTGACGCATCGCATTCTCTCAACCCCCACATCCTTGCCACCTGTTTCTTTGTTTGATCACCAGTAAATAGTGTGGGCTCCCAGAACTCGGGGCCTTCACAGCCTCCATACTTGTGTTGGCCCCCTGGACGCACTTTCTCTCTCAAACTGTCTTTTCTCATTCCTTTGACTCTGTCAGACTTTGTCGCCCCCATGACCTGGTGTTGGGTCCGATCACTCCAACAGGTTAGGCTCTGGTAAAGTAGTTTCTCCTGAGTCAGGCTTTGTTCAGAACAGAATGCTTGGTCTATTTCAAAATGATGCCTTCTCTCCTCTCCTTGCTGGAAGGACAAGGGCATTTTTCTCTGATATTCACTGTGAGGGCCTTGTAGAGCTCCTTGAGGTAAAACTCATGAAAGGAGGGATGTGGGTCTGACTGGGTCCCCCTGGAGTTTTTAACCCTAAGACTGGTCTACACTGAGCCTCCAGAAGTTCATCAATTACAGTTTAGGTTTTCCTACCCTGGCCCTGGTTCCTCTGGAGGCTTGTGCTTGTGGGTTTCTGCTTTAGTAAGTTGTGATAGTCTGGATTTGCCTCTCCAGCTTTGGGGGCAATCGTTTGCCTATGGTCTCACTTCTCCAACAGATCTAAGAAGAGTTGTTGATTTTTCAGTTTTTTTCAACTTTCCACTTGTTGTTAAGATGGAATGATAACTTCTAAGGTCTTTTTATTTTCGAGATGACTCTCGCCCTTGTCCCCTAGGCTGGAGTGCAATGGTGTGATCTCGGCTCACTGCAACCTCTACCTCCCGGGTTCAAGCGATTCTCCTGCCTCAGCCTCCAGAGTAGCTGGGATTACAGGCACCTGCCACCACGCCCAGCTAATTTTTGTATTTTTAGTAGAGACGGGGTTTCACCATGTTGGTTAGGCTGGTCTTGAACTTGTGACCTCAGATGATCCGCCCGCCTCAGCCTCCCAAAGCACTGGGATTACAGGCGTGAGCTACCGCACCCAGCCAACAACTTCTAACCTCTTTACATGCCAGGTTGGAACCCAGAAGTCTGTTTTGTTTTGTTTTTAAATCAAATTTGAAAAAAAAAAAGGTCAACATTTCCCCAAACATTTTTTTCTGTTTCTGCTCTCCAGTATGTCCTTCTGGAACTCCATTGATTTTCTCCCATGAGTCACTGAAGTTCTGTTAGTTTTTTAAACAATCTTTGTCTCTCTGTGCTTTATATTTCTTTATTTTACTTTTTTGAGATAGGGTCTTGCTCTGTCACCCAGGCTGGAGTGCAATGGTGTGATCACAGCTCACTGCAGTCTTGAGCTCCTAGGCTCAAGCAATCCTCCCACCTCAGCCTCCTGAGTAGCTGGGACTACAGGTGCACACCACCATATCTGGCTTGTTTTTTTGTTTGGTTTTTGTTTTTTCATTTTTAGTAGAAATGGGGTTGCTCAGGTTGGCCCCAAACTCCTGGCCTCAAGCTATCCTCCCACCTTGGCTAGGGAGCTATCCTCCCACCTTGGCCTCCCAAAGTGCTAGGATTACAGGCTCTGTCTGTACTTTAAATTATTCCATTGATCTATGTTCAAGTTGATTGATTACTTCTTCTGTTGTGTCCAATCTTATGTTAATTTCATCTGATAATTTTCTATTTCTGGTATTATCGTTTTCACTTCCAGGATTTCCATTTGATTCTTTTTTATAATTTATATATCTCTCCTAAAATTCTCCATCTTATCACCCATGATATCAATTTCAGTAGATTCTTTAACATATTAATCATAGATATTTTAAACTCCTTTGCTGATTCTAACATATAGGTCGGCTGTGGATCTATTTCTATTGACAGATTTTTCTCTTGAATATAGGTCACATTTTCCTGTGTCTTCACATCTAGTAATTTTTTGTTGCACACTGGACAAAGTAGATAATATGTTGAAAAGACTCTAAATTCTGTTATCTCCTGAAGAGTATTGAGTTTTATTCTAGAACAGTTAAATTATTGATGGGTCATCTTGCTCTTTTAGAGACTTAGTTGTAGGTTTTATCAGAGAGAATCTCTGGTTTTGCTCTTAGTCCTAGGAAAAATCCCTTAATCCTGAGATAGGGTCTTTCTTCCTAAGTCATGGCTGTTCTAGAGTTT
Source organism: Homo sapiens (assembly GCF_000001405.40). Taxonomy (NCBI): domain Eukaryota; kingdom Metazoa; phylum Chordata; class Mammalia; order Primates; family Hominidae; genus Homo; species Homo sapiens. The sequence goes on from NC_000022.11 coordinate 29,242,819, forward strand.
CATTAGAAAGCTTTAGGTGTTCACAAGCACCTCTAACTTGGTTGGACTGGAACTCTAAACTCTGTCTCCTATATGGTGGGCAATTTTTGACATCTTTAGTCAGTTCTACCAATCTGTTGGTTCTCCCCCTCTGGGCTCCTTGGAGTATTGCCCTGTGATTGGTCAATCCAGGGACCATCCAAGCGTCAGAAAGGAACATTTATGCAGATTTAGTTCCCCCACTTGTAGCTCCCTGCTTCCCAGTATTTCTCATCAATTTCTTGCTTCTCTGGCAACCTCAACCTCTGATTCCTGAGGCCAATAAAACTGAAACTTTCTGCTTGAGCTCTTGTTTTGCCAGGCTGATGGGGCTGAGGTGCACCCTCTGAGGAAAAGCTGTAAATACATGGATTTTACCCAATGCCATTCCCTTCTTTTAAGGGTTGAATATTCTCCAGTGTCTGTCTGCTTTTTATTACTTTCCGTTGCCTTCAATCAGTTGGTTTTTGCTTTGTATCCAATACAAGCTACTTTCTGTTTCTCTAAGTTTCTCTCCCTTTCCCCGCTCTTTTTCCTCCCTCTTTTTTTCCCGTCCCTTTCTGTCTCCTTGCCTTCCTCACTGCTGCTATCTCTGTCTCTCCTTGCAGGGGGAACCTGGCCCTAAGGGAGACCCTGGTGAGAAGAGCCACTGGGTAAGCTCTGGCCTGGCACTGGCCTCTCCCTGCCTTCTCAGCCCTACATGCTCAAGAGAGTATTCCCTCCCCAGGAGGCCCTGGGAGTGGGAGCATCCCATCCACATCCCCACTACAGCCTGGTCTCCCAGGCAGGAGCCTTGGCAATTATCAGCCCCAACTCCTTCCCCCATCTTGTTGCTCCCAACCGGGCAGGGCCAGCCCTATCAGCAGACCCCATGCCTTCTGTCTCAGTCTCTGTCCCTGTCTCCACCTTCCCTCTGTGGCCTTTCCAGGCCAGGGTGGCTCTGCCTTTTCCTCCTGGGTGGTTTGGGCTGACCCAGGCCAGACTGCATCCCCTGCCTCCATAGCCCCCTCCCAGCCAAGGCTTAGCTTGCTCCCTTGTCTGCAGAACAAAGGGAAGAATGAAGACAATATCTACACAGGAGAATGGGATAGAGGACCTAGGAAAGGGGCCTAGAAATGATGAGGTACATAGGAGCCACGTGGTAAAAAGGACAGGGAACTAGATACCACCATACACATCGGAAATTCATGAAGCCTGTGAAGAGACGCCTCGAAACTGCTATGTACACGTTTGATGTGGTTAATGAGGCCAGGTGACCTAGACTCCTCTATACTTAAAGGACCTATAGTTTACACAAGGTCCTAGACACCATCACATACATAGGAGACCCATGATGGATGAGAAGGGAAGCCTAGAAACTCTCACATATACAGGAGACAGAGTAAATGAGAAGGGGACAAGAAGGGGGAACTAGAAACCACACACCGCAAAATCTCATGATTAATGTGGGGTCCTAGAAACCTTCACAATCGTCCGGGATGCCGTGGCTCCTACCTGTAATCCCAGCACTCTTGGAGGCCGAGGCGGGTAGATAACTTGAGGTCAGGAGTTTGAGACCAGCCTGGCCAACATGGCAAAACCCCCATCTCTAAAATACAAAAAAATACAAAAATACAAAATTAGCCTTAAAGGTTTGGGCTAAAAATACAAAAATTAGCTGGACATGGTGGTACGCACCTGTAGTCCTAGCTATTCAGGAGGCTGAGGCAGGGGAATCGCTTGAACCCAGGAGGCAGAGGTTGCAGTGAGCAGAGATCGCGCCACTGCACTCCAGCCTGGGCGACGGAACGAGACTCTGTCTCAAAAAAAAAAAAAGAAAAGAAAAGAAAATAGAAACCTTCACAATCATTGAAAATCATTGCAGGGGAGGGATTTTCGGGTTAGGACCTAGAAATCTACTCACCCAAGAGACGTGGGGGAAAGACGAGGACCCTAAAACATACCATACCCAAAAGCCCCACGACACAGGGATCTGGAAACCATCACTGACAGGGGAGACATCTGGAAAATGGACAGAGTGGAGGCAGACACTCCTTCAGGAGAGAGAGACAACTAGGAAGCTCTTTTTGGCGGTGGGGGGGATTGTGACTCCCCCTCCACATGCAGTCTGGCTGGGACACCCTACTTCCTGGCAGTCACAAGTTAGTGAGGATGTGGGTGGCACCCAGTGCCTGCCTTGCCCTCTTAGTTCTTGATTGTGGGGTCAGTGATGGATACAGCCGTGGGAGCCCCCTACCCTGCACGAGTCTTCCCCTGTGTCTGCCCATGACTTCTGGTGCCCTGCTACCTCTCCAGTTAGCCTCTCCTGGCCCCTGCTGTCCTGAATCTCCTCCTACCCCATACCCATCCTCCGTAGCTCCAGAGTCTCTTAATACTGCCAGTATGGACATGAGCTGAGCTGGGATCAGATAGACCCATGCAAGCCTGGCTCTCTGCCTCCCCTAGGCTAATTACTGGCCTCTCCCAGAGGCCCTTGGTCTGGGAACACATTTACCACCCAGTCCAGGAGGGGTGGGAGAGATTGGGCAGTCCTGTCCCTTCATGAGAATCCCCGGCAGGATGCCCTGGCCACCCTAGACCAGTCCTTGAACCCAGAACCACCTGTGGGCTCCCCGCAAGAGGTAGCAGGGCCCCTGCCCACCCACCTTCCTGCCCCTCTTCTACCTGCACTTCTGCCCCTGCTTGCTGCTTGCCTGGGAGGGGACCCACTGGGCTGGGGGCTGCATGAAGCTTTGGGGGCTGGGGGAACAGCTCTGTTGGGGACAGGTGGGAATGAGGTTCAGTGCTGGCAAGGTCCCCGAGGGCTCCTATGTACACTTCACCAACCAACTCCCTTAGTGCAGCTTGCAGATGCGTTCTGGCTGTGGCCCAGCAGTGACACCTGGTGGTCATGATAGTGCACTGCAGGAACTGGAGTGACTGTGCTGGGCCTGCCCACCTGGATCAAAGCTCTCACCCCTTATTCAGACAGGGAAACTGAGGCCCGACTCGGCAGAGAGAATCCTTGGCAGAGCGGGAACTGGAGCCCTGACTTTTAAGTTCCTAGGGCCAGAGAACCAGCTACCATTCCCCAAGCATCTCCTCCATAGGCACCAGACCTGGAGCTGGGCACTGTTTACACAGATGCAATTCAGACACAGTCCCCACCCTCAGGGTGGTCACAGTGAGGTGAGGGAAAAAAGACCTATAATCAGCAGCTACAGGACTGTCAACTTTATAAACACTTTACACTTTAGCATCCTCCCGGAGGAGCCAGGTGAAGCCTGAAAGGTGCATTAACCAGGCACGGAGTGTCCAGGCAGAGGCGAGGGTACAACAGGTGCAAAGGCCCTGTGGCAAGAGGGAGCCTCGGATATTTGAGGAGCTGCAAATACTTGGAGTGGCACTGTGACAGGTAGAGAGTGGAACAGAGGCCAAAGAGGCCTTCAGGGTGTAGGAGGCCACGTTCAGGAATTTGGACTTTGTTCTAGGGCAGTGGGGAGGCATTGAAGGCTCTAGAAGCAGCAGAGTGATGCGGTCAGGTTTTTTTTATTTGCAAAGAATCCCTCTGATTGCCATGGCGAATGGATGGGAGAAGCAGAAAGACAGTAGGTCGGGGGCTGTCGTGGTCATCCTGGTGAGAGACTGAGCCGGGCAGTGGGTGGGAGCCAGTGAGGACAGACAGCCGTCGATGGAGCAAAAAGACACTTGTGTGCTGGTCTGGCTGCAAAAGGGAGTGAGGAGTCAAGGGAGACTTAAAATAGCAAAAGAGAACCAGGAGAAGCAAGCAGGCTGAGTTTTGTCTGTGGACCAACGGGAGGAGTCTGTGTTACAGCCAAGTAGGGTTGTCCAGCAGGCCCAGACACTTAGATCCGGAGTGCAGAGGGCAGGCCAGGCTGAAGGAGACTGGGTTGTCATCAGTGCAAACATCAGGCCACCTGGTCTGAGGGAGTTCCAAACAGTGGATTTTAAAAACACTTTTCCCCATATTTTTCTTTTTAATTTTATGTTTTAAAAAATACAGACAAGAACTCACAATGTGTCCCAGGCTGGTCTCAAATTCCTGGCCTCAAGTGATCCTCCTACCTCAGCCTCCCAAGGTGTTGGGATTACAAGTGTGAGCCACTGCACCTGGCCTCCCCAATATTTTTGTTTATTTTTATTTTGTTTTTTTCCTTTTTTATTGAGACAGAGTCTCTATCGCCCAGGCTGGAGTGCAACAGCTCAATCACAGCTCACTGCAACCTCTGCCTCCTGGGTTCAAGCAATTCTCGTGCCTCAGCCACCTAAGTAGCTGGGACTCTGTAGCCATGCCTGGCTAATTTTTGTATTTTTAGTAGAGATGGGTTTGCGCCATGTTGGCCAGGCTGGTCTTGAACTCCAGGCCTCACGTGATCCACCCGCCTCAGCCTCCCAAAGTGCTAGGATTACAGGTGTGAACCACTGCACCCAGCTATTTTGCATTTTGATATACAGAAAAGTTGGTACAATGAATGTCATTCTGCCCTTCCTGTAGATGGACCAATTATTGGTACAGCCATGTGTCACTTAATGATGGGGATATGTCCTGGAAAATATGCCATTAGGTGATTTTGTTGTGGCATGAGCATCATACAGTGTACATACACAAACCTAGATGGGATAGCCTACAACACACCTCAGCTGTATGGTGTAGCCAATTGCTCCCAGGCTACAAACCTAAACAGCACGTTACTACGCTAAATATTGCAGGCAACTGCAACACAGTCGTAAGTATTTGTGTATCTAAACATAGAAAAGGTACAGCAAAAATACACCATAAAAGATTTTTGGAGCTTTTTTGTTTGTTTGTTTAGGACAAAATCTTGCTCTGTCGCCCAGGGTGGAGTGCAGTGGTGTGATTTCGGCTCACTGCAACCTCCATCTCCAGGTTCAAGCGATTCTCTTGCCTCAGCCTCCTGGGTAGCTGGGATTACAAGCATGAGCCACCACGCCCAGCTAATTTTTTGTATTTTTAGTAGAGACGGGGTTTCACCATGTTGGCCAGGCTGGTCTCAAACTCCTGACCTCAAGTGATCCGCCCACCTCAGCCTCCCAAAGTGCTGGAATTACAGGCGTGAGCCACCGCGCTGGTGAAATTAATTTTTTTTTTACTTTTTTTTTTTTTTGAGACAGAGTCTTGCTATGTCTCAAGAAAAGTACAGTGGAGTACAGTGGCTTGATCTCGGCTCACTGCAACCTCCGCCTCCTGGGTTCAAGCGATTCTCATTGCCTCAGCCTCCCAAGTAGCTGGGACTACAGGTGAACGCCACGATGCCCAGCTAATTTTTTTGTATTTTTAGTAGAGATGGGGTTTCACCATGTTGGCTGGCCAGGCTGGTCTCAAACTCCTGACTTCAAGTGATCCGCCTGCTTCGGTCTCCCAAAGTGCTAGGATTCCAGGTGTGAGACACTGTGCCTGGCCCTTTTTTTTTTTTTTTTTTTTTCACTTTTTAAATGTTTTTGCTAAAAACTAAGACACAAACACATACATTAGCCTAGGCCTACACAGGGTCAGGATCATCAGTATCACTGTCTCCATGTCCACCTCTTGTCCCACTGGAAGTTCTGGGCAGTAACATGCATAGAGCTGTCATCTCCTATGATAACAATGCCTTCTTCTGGAATACCTCCTGAAGAACCTGCCTGAGGCTGTTTTACAGCTTAACTGTTTTTTAAATAAGTAGAAGGAGTACACTCTAAAATAACAATTTAAAGTATAGTATATGACCAGGTGCAGTGGCTCACATCTATAATCCCAGCACTTTGGGAGTCCAAGGCAGGAGGATCACTTGAGCCCAGGAGTTCCAGACTAACCTAGGCAGCATAGCGAGACCTTGTCTGTACAAATAAAAAAATTAGCTGGGTATGATGGCATGTGCCTGTGGTCCCAGGTACTTGGGAGGCTAAGGTGGGAGGATCGCTTGAGCCGGGGAAGTCGAGGCTGCAGTAATACGAGATCACGCCACTGCACTCCAACCTGGGCGACAGAGCAAGACTCTGTCTCAAAAATAAATAAGTAAGTAAAATATAGTAAATACTAGGCAATGGGAATTTTTTGGCTCCATTATAATCTTATGAGACCACTGTGGAGATATGCAATCCATCGTAGACTGAAACATCATTATGTGATGTATGACTGTATTGAGCCACAATTGTTCTGTCATTCTCTCTTACATATTTATAGATCTTTTTTTCAAATTCATTTAAAAGTAAGCTGCAAAACCCAGCCACGTTTCCCCTAACATTGCAGTGTGCACCGTGAATGAATATGGACATTCTCCCACATTACCACAATACCGTCGTCATACTTAAGAAAGCTAACATTTATTTAGCAAAATGATGCCATTAAATATGTGACTTACCTGTAAATGTTACCAGTTGTCCCCAGATGGCTTTTCTTTTTTTTTTCCTTTTTTTTGAGATGGAGTCTCTGTCACCGAGGCTGGAGCACCAGGACGGAGTCTCTGTCACCCAGGCTGGAGTGCAGTGGCGTGATCTCAGCTCACTACAACCTCCGCCTTCCAGGTTCAAGCCATTCTCCTGCCTCCAGTTCTTGAGTAGTTGGGATTACAGGCGTGCACGCACACCACCATGCCTGGCTAATTTTTGTACTTTTAGTAAAGACAGGGTTTCACCATGTTGGCCAGGCTGATCTCAAACTCCTGACCTCAGGTGATCCGGCCATCTCAGCCTCCCAAAGTGCTGGGATTACAGGCGTGAGCCACTGCGCCTGACCCCCAAAATACCTTTATTATTTATTTATTTATTTATTTATTTATTTATTTATTTATTTTTGAGATGGAGTTTCACTCTTGTTGCCCAGGCTGGAGGGCAATGGTGCAATCTCTGCTCACTGCAACCTCTGCCTCCTGGGTTTAAGCGATTCTTCTGTCTCAGCCTCCCATGTAGCTGGGATTGCAGGTGCCTGCCACCACGCCTGGCTAATTTTTGTATTTTGAGTAGAGACGATGTTTCACCATGTTGGCCAGGCTGATCTCAAACTCCTGATCTCAGTTGATCTGCCCGCCTCAGCCTCCCAAAGTGCTGGGACTACAGGTGTGAGCCACCACGCCTGGCCCCCAAAATGCCTTTTAAAGCTCTTTTTTTCCAAAGTCCAAGATCTGGCTGGGCAAGGTGGCTCATGCCTGTAATCCCAGCACTTTGGGAAGCCAAGGTGGGAGGCTCTTTTGAGCCCAAGAGTTTGAGACCAGCTTGGGCAACATAGGGAGACACCTGTCTCTACAAAAAAAATAAAAAAATTTGTTTTCAATTAGCTGGGTGTGGTGGTGCACACCTGTAGTCCCAGCTACTTGAGAGGCTGAGACGGGAGGATCATTTGAGTCCTGAAAGTCAAGGCTACAGTGAGCCATGATCATACCACTGCATTCCAGCCTGGGCAACAGAGCAAGACCTTGTCTCAATCAATCAATCAATAAAGTCCAAAATATAATCAAGGTTCTCACACACTGCGTTTGGTTGTCACATTTCTTGTCTCTTTTAACTTAGAACAGGCCTCCTGCCTTTTTCTTCTTCTCTTGACTTTGTCTTTGTGTGAATGTCCCACAATTTAAATTTGTCTGATTGTTTCTTCATGATGAGATGCAGGCTAAATAATCTTGGCAGGGGCACCTGTGGTGCCTTTTATTGTACCTCGTTAGGAAGCTCATGATGTCAGCTTGTCCCATTGTCCATGCCAGGAATGGCTTCATGGAATTTTATTTTATCTTTTTTTTTTCTTTTTTTAATTTGAGACAGAGTCTTGCTCTGTTGCCCAGGCTGGAGTGCAATGGCATGAACTCGGCTCACTGCAACCTCTGCCTCCCAGGTTCAAACGATTCTCCCACCTCAGCCTCCAGAGTGGCTGGGATTACAGGCATGCACCACCACACCCGGCTAATTTTTTTTTTTTTTTTTTTTTTTTTTTTTTTTTTTAGTAGTAGTAGAGACAGGGTTTTTCCATGTTGGCCAGGCTGGTCTCAAACTCCTGACCTCAGGTGATCCATCCGCTTAGGCCTCCCAAAGTGCTGGGATTACAGGTGTGAGCCACTGTGCTCAGCCTGGAATTTTTTAAGATCATCTTTTTTTATTTTTTATTTTTTGAGATAGGGTCTTGCTGTGTTGCCCAGGCTGGAGTGCTATGGCATGATCATGACTCACTGCAGCCTCGACCTCAGGGGCCCAAGCCACCCTCCCACCTCAGCCTCCCAAAGTACTGGAATTACAGGTACACACCACCACGCCTGGCTAATTTTTTAATTTTTTCTTTTTTTGAGACAGGGTCTCTGTCGCCCTGGCTGGAGTGCAGTGGTACGATCTCAGCCCAGTGCAGCCTCAGCCTCCTGGGCATCAATCCTCCCACCTCAGCCTCCCAAGTAGCCAGGACTACAGGCGCACACCACCATGCCTGGCTAATTTTTGTATTTTTAGTAGAGATGGGGTTTCGTCATGTGGGCTAGGCTGGTCTGGAACTCCTGAGCTCAAGCAGTCCACCCACCTCAGCCTCCCAGGGTGCTGGGATTACAGACGTGAGCCACTGCATCTGGCCATTTTTTTTTTTTTTTTAGAGATGGGGTCTCACTATGTTGCCCTGGCTAGGCTCAAGTGATCCTCCCACCTTGGCCACTTAAAGTGCTGGGATTACAGGTGTGAGCCACCATGCCAGCCCCCCCGGCGTTTTTTGAGACATGGTCTTGCTCTGTCACCCATCGTGGAGTGCAGTGGCACAATCATAGCTCACTGTAGCCTCAAACTCTTGTGCTCAAGTGAACCTCCCACCTCAGCCTCCACAGTAGCCAGAACTACAGGTGTGTGCCACCACACCCAAATAATTTTTTTTTCTTTTTTTTGAGATGGAGTCTCCCTCCGTCACCCAGGCTGGAGTACAGTGGTGTGATCTCAGCTCACTGCAACCTCTGCCTCCTGGGTTCAAGTGATTATCCTGCCTCAGCCTCCCAAGTAACTAGGACTATAGGTGCACACCACCAAGCTTGGCTAATTTTTGTATTTTTAGTGGAGATGGGGTTTCACCATGTTGGCCAGGCTGCTTTTGCACTCCTGACCTCAAGTGATCTGCCCACCTTGGCCTCCCAAAGTGTCATTAGGTGCTGGGATTACAGGACAGCTACCGTGCCCACTCTAATTTTTAAATTTTTTGTAGATATGGGGTCTTGCTATGTTGCCCAGGCTGGTCTCAAACTCCTAGCCTCAGGTGATGCTCCCACTTTGGCCTCCCAAAGCACTGAGATTAGAGGTGTAAGTCACTGTGCCTAGCGAAGGTCATTCATTTTTAGATCCTGCCCCTGTAATACTCGAAAGGGGATTACTTTGGCATGCAGCTCGTGGTGACCCTGGGACCCCCAGGCTGAAATGGCCATTCAGCGGCCTGAGGGTCACCCGATCCATGTGATGTGGACAGGACAGCTGGATCACAAGGGTCAGCCCCAGCGAGCAGGCTCACTCATGATGGACATATTGAGAGACCTCTTAGTTGTTTAGATGGTTTTGTGGGAAGCAGCAACCTTAAAGGGTTGGCTTGTAATTATACAATTATGCATATTGTCTATCCCTTCACTTATCTGTACTGAGTAAAGGGCACCAAGAGAGATTTCCAGATGTTGTCAGAGCTGGGATAGTTCTATTTGTCATCCTGGTGCACTGTTGGAATTGAGAGATCTACATTCTGGAAATAGCTTTGGTCTGGACTAGGAAAGAGGAAGGAGTGAGGGAGTGTGGAGCGTTGTCAAGACTATGGACCATATGCTGGGGAAGGAAAGGATGCAGATGGGGAGAAAGAGATGAGGTCTCTGGCATGAGCCCTGGGTAGCAGCTGGTACCACTTGGGGAGTGGGGAGCCCCAGAGCTGGTGGCCTTGGAGGAGGGGCTTTGTGAGCCCAGTGCCACATCCCTGGGGTCTGGGAGCCAGAGACAGGGAGAAGCAGACCCGTACTGCTAAGAGGAGAGGGCTGGGCTGAGGGTGACGCATCAGGATGTGCCAGATTGTGGACCTGGCATAGTCTAAGCCCTGGGAGAGGTGAGCACTGTTTTCCAGGCAGGGAGCCCAAAGCGTGAAGACCTGGGGAAGGGACAGAGTGCTGAGCCTCAGGTTTCTCAGAATTTTAAGCGCAAGTTCTCCAAAAGCAATGTAACTCAAACCTTGTCTAATTTTATTGACATACTGATGGTCCCCAGCTTACGATGGTTCAAATTACAATTTTTCAACTTTACAATTGTGCGAAAGCAATATAGGCTTTCAGTACATTCCTCAACTTACTTCCAAATAAACCCATCGTAAGTTGAAAATATTGTATGTCAAAAATGCACTTTTTTGGCCAGGGATGGTGGCTCACGCCTGTAATCCCAACACTTTGGAAGGCTGAGACAGGAGGATCACTTGAGGCCAGGAGATCGAGGCCAGCCTGGGCAACATAGCAAGACCCTTGTCTCTTAAAAAAAAGAAATGTGTTTGGCTGGGCGCGGTGGCTTACGCCTGTAATCCCAGCCCTTTGGGAGACCGAGGCGGGCAGATCACCTGAGGTCAGGAGTTCCAGACCAGCCTGACCAACATGGAGAAACCCTGTCTCTACTAAAAATACAAAGTTAGCTGGGTGTGGTGGTGCATGCCTGTAATCCCAGCTACTTGGGAGGCTGAGGCAGGAGAATCGCTTGAACCTGGGAGGTGGAGGTTGCGGTGAGCTGAGATCGCGCCATTGCACTCCAACCTGGGCAACAAGAGCAAAACTTCGTCTCAAAAAAAAATGTACTTTTGACTTGTGATATTTTCAACTTACACTGGGTTTATCTGGATGAAATCCCATTGAAAGTCAAGGAACATCTATATATTCATTTGGGCATAAGTGGAAATACTGGTAAGTAGCCTGAACTCACTGATCGGAGTAATTAGGGTGAGGCTAATGTGGTGATTTAAAGCAAAAAGAATGTGAAGTAAATAAGCATATAGGTGGCCAAGAGATATAGTCATGCAGGTGTTGGGAGAGCAACTGGTGCTGGGCGACAGACATTAGAGGACAGGAGGGCTCCCAGCAGCTTCTGGGACTGCCGTTCTGCCCCTGAAGATTGGCTCCCCCTGCCTTCAGCGCAGCAGGATTTGCGGCCTTGTCAGAGAGCAGCCAGCTGGGATCCAACGGGACCTTCTGGGAGGTCCTGCAGGGGTTGCTTCCTTCCGTCTGCCTTGTTGTCCCCCTCCTGTCCTCACCTGGTCTTGTTCTGGCTGTCCATGGACCCTGGGCTGTGGCAGGTAGTGTGGGGCTGCAGGTGCATGTCCCGGGTGGGGCATGGGCCACCGACGGGCTTTGCAGGGTCCCCTCCCCTGCCCCCTTCACGGCTGCATCTGTCTCTTTCCTCCACAGGGGGAGGGGTTGCACCAGCTACGCGAGGCTTTGAAGATTTTAGCTGAGAGGGTTTTAATCTTGGAAACAATGATTGGGCTCTATGGTGAGTAGAGACAGACAGACGGACAGACGGCCCAGCCCCTGCCTGCCAGCCTTCCCCAAGCCCTCCTGGGGTGGAACTGGCCTGAGCCCAGTCATGAGGCTGGAGAAGGTGCCTGCCCCAGGCAAGCATGGACCTGAGAGGCCACAACCACCCTTCCCTCAATGACTGGTTCCCTCCTCCACGGGTGCAGGGGTGCCCTAGAAACCCGGGCCCTGCTGCTGTGGTCAGACCTGGGCCTCTAAGCATTATGGGTAGTGTGGTTTCTAGGCCTGCAGGGAACCAGAGATGAAAGATTTTAAGTTTGGAAGAAATTATGGGCAATGGAACCAAACTCCACTCCAGCAGTGGGATTGTGGGTAACAGAGCCAGACTCCTGGAGTGCAAGGAACCATGGGGAATCCAATCACAGCTCAGGACAACAGGAGGATTATAGGTAATGGATCCAGACTCTAGTCAGCCTTCAGCTCTAGAGAAATCATGGGTAACAGAGTCAGGCCCGCAGGACAATAGGTCATGGAGCAAGACTCCAGAAGGGCAGGGGACTGTGGGTGACAGAGCTAGGCTCAGGCCCCAGGGGACTCTGGGTAATACACCACCTACTAGTTCTGACTTTCCTCTCCCATAAGCCCCCAGAGGCTCTCACAAGGCAGATCCTCCTGGTCCCAGGTGTCCCCTTTGCAGTTTTCCCTTTGGTCCTCCTAACCTGTTCTGTTGGTCCCTTTAGGGGACTAAGAGAGCCAGGCCCTCACTCACCCCAGGCATTCATTCACCCAGAAACTCTCCACCCATGTGGTTATTTGAGGAGCCAGGCCAGCCCTGTCCCCACCATAGGAGGGGAAACTGAGGTCTCAGTACTGAGACTCACTCCCAGGCTCCTGCCCTGACGCCAGCTGGCAGTGCCCTCCCACCCTCCCCGCTTGGCTCCCCAGCCCAGCCCTCGGAGGCCAGACTCGCACCGTCTGCTCTTCTCCATCTCCCATCAGGCTCCTAGCTTACAGAGCTTCCTGCAGCAGCAGGCTCAGCTGGAGCTCCTGGCCAGACGGGTCACCCTCCTGGAAGCCATCATCTGGCCAGGTAATGGCAGGGCGGGCAGGCAGGGGCAGCCTCTTCCAGGAAGGGCCTGGAAAAGGCCTGGGCATGCAGAAGGCGCCTTCCGATGCTTGGCCCAGGCCAGCGGACACTCATTCTTCATCCAGCCAGCCAGCCAGCAAATGGTGCCTGGCAGAGAGAAGGCTCTGGTCACTTGAGTGAATGCGCACCTGCTCTGTGCCAGGCACCTTGCTGGGACAGGCTCCACAAGATAAGACAGACACAGTCCTGCCCTTGAGGAGTGTAGGGTGCTGGGGGGCTCAGGAGAACCCTGACACTGGTAGAGAAACCCAGGTGAGCTACACTGCAGGAAAGGGAGTACAGGCAGCCATGGAAATACAGAAGTGCCTCTGGCCTGGCCCAGAGGAGGTTGGAGGGGGGTCAGGGAGGTCTTCCTGGAGGAGGTGATATCTAAGTGAAGACTTGAAGGGCAAGGATCTGGGGAGAGTGAACAGGCAGAGAAACAGCATAAGCGAAGGCCAAGAGACCAGAAGGAGCCTAGAAGCAACAGAATCTGGCAGGGCCTAGATTGAGAAGGTCCTAGAAGGCAGGTTGGGGTAGTACAGGAGGTGGTTAGACACCAGTGGGTGGTACCCCTCCTTGCGTCTGGCTCCTGGGAGTGAGGCTGAGAAAATCTCTCCCCATGAAACTGGAGCCTGTGGCTGGCCCTGAAGAAAGGAAGGGATTGGCCACCCGAGGGGCTGAGCTCTATTCCTCACCTGCCCAGCCGCCCTATCTCGCAGCCCAGTGAGCACATCAGTGCACAGAGGCCTCCATATCATGTCCAACCTCGCATCTATTTTAAAGACTGAGAGGCCGGTCATGTTAGCTCACACCTGTAATCCTAGCACTTTGGGAGGCCGAGGCGTATGGATCACCTGAGGTCAAGAGTTCAAGACCAGCCTGGGCAACATGGCGAAACCCCGTCTCTACTAAAAATTAGTTGGGTGTGGTGGCGGGCACCCGTAATCCCAGCTACTCGGGAGGCTGAGGCGGAGAATCACTTGAACCCAAGAGGCAGAGGTTGCAGTGAGCCGAGACCGCACCACTGTACTCCAGCCTGGGTGACAGAGCGAGACTCCATCTCAAAAAAAAAAAAAAAAAAAAGACTGAGAAACTTAGATCCCAAGCAGGAAGAAGGGTTAAGGTTAGAGCCCAGCCTCCTTCATCCAGCAAAACTGTAGGGAGCACTCATTGAAAGCCAGACCTGTTGGGCACTGGTGCTCTGGAGTACAGATAGGTGCTGGCCTTGGGGAGCTGGCCATGAGTGGCAGGGAATCGTATCTACGGAGATATGGGGTAGGGGAGCATGGAAGGATATGGATGAGGAAGAGTCACTTGTCCCTAGGGGTTGGAGAAGGCTTCTTGGAAGAGGGGACTCTGCGTTGCGTCCTGGAAGATCCCAATGAGTGTGCCAGGTGGGGAAGTGGGTCGGGCAGCCTTGAGAGAGTCCTGCCTGTGCAGAGGCCCAGAGCCTGGGAAGGGTGTGGGGTCTGCTTCCAAAGCTCCTCCCACAGTGCCACATGCTTCTCTAACTTCTAGAAACTTCAGTGCCTAGCTCCCAGACCTCCTCCCCTCTTACAGAGAGGGGCCAAGGACCAAATCTCAGGCTCTCAGAACCTTTTTAGGTGTCTCCACCTCCTCTCTGAGGATTGGAGCAGGAGCTAGAAGGGACACATTTGAGCCACCATGTCCCTGGATCTGTCCCTGCCTTCAGCCAGCTCTGTCTCTGACAGCCCAGGGAGAAAAGTGCCAGACACCTCAGAAGTCCCACACCCACTGCCAGTGGCCCCTCAAGCCAGCTTGGGTCGGGGCTTGGAGGGACAGGTCGGGGGACTGGGAAATGGGACAGGGAAGGAGGTGGGACCCTCCCCATTGGCGCAACATACACATCAGGTGCTACTGAAGACCCAGATGGGGTTCATGTTTAGGTTATAATCAATAATTATGATAATAGTATCAGCTGCCACGTGTCTGGCCCACCTGGGCTGGATTGATCATCTCCAATCTCTTAGAGGAGTAAACTTGCTAGGTGAGCGATGCCGTGGCCATTTTACAGGTGAAGAAACAGAAGCTCAGAGGCTCCTGTGACTGCTTCAGAGTCACAGGAATGGGAATGGTCAGGCTAGGGGTCCACCTCAGGTCTCCCCTCTAAAGTCCTGGCCCTTTGGACTGCATCAGCAAAGGTTTGCTGACTCTGCCACTCATCCAGGGCCCCAAATTTGATTGTGACAAACTCACAGGGGCCAGACCTGCAGGAGACCTGGGTGGAAGCGACACCAACCTAGTAACCATAATAATCCAGCATTTCCCGTGAAAACCACTTTCCAGTCCTGGTCACGGTAAACACATGTATCACAAGGGTGTGAAAATGGGACTATTATGCCCACGTTCCAGATGACGCTCAGAGGTTCTATGACTTGCCCAAGGCCACATAACTGGCAGAGTGGGACCAAGCCATGATCCCAGCTGGCATTGGGGCCAGTGCTCTGTGCCACTCCCCTCCCACGCTCCCTAAGGCATGGAATGTCCCTTTCAGTGACCACACATGCCTGTCTGCTCCGGGAGCCCTCAACTCAGCCCAGAGGTGCAGGGCAGGCTGGGCCACACAGGGTCGGGGCACTGGCAGTCATGATTACGACGGACAGCCCACTCCATGGCAGTGCCCTCAGTGGGAACCTGGTGTTTACCAGAACCCAAGTATCTGTCCTATGGAGGCTTAGCCAAGTCCTCCACCGTGGCCCTCTCCTCCCTGAGTGTCCATCTCCCCCTAGAAAAACAGCCTATTCTTCTGACCTGCCTGGCCTGCTCATTTTACTTTGGGAAGGGCTGAGATGATAGGCACAGAAGGCTTCCTGGAGGAAATGGCTCCTACCCTTGGTTTTGAAGGATGAGTAGTTTTCTGGTTCCATCCGGAACTGTCCCTGTTTCAGAGATGAGATGACTGAGGCCCTGACAGAGGTCCAGCTTGCCCAAGACTGCACAGTAGGTCAGTGGCAGAGCCTGGCCTCCTAAGCTCTTTCCCCCAACTGGTGGCCTAGCCCATGTCTGTTCCCTGGCCTCAGTTTACCCAGCTACCAAATGGGGATGACTCAGGGCACACCTCCACCCCAAAATGAATAGAAAAAGAAGCAGCCTTTCTATGAAGCATTCACTGCATCTAAACACTTCCTAAAGGAGGTGGGTGTGGTTATCCCCACCTGACAAAGCAGGAAGCAGAGGCCCTGAGTGCTCTCCTTGGGCTGGGGGGCTGGTAAGTCCTGGCGTGAGGCACCAACCAATCTGCAGACCCCCTTTCCCACAGCTCTGCAGCCAGATACCAGGGTGGATTATACCTGGCAGAGCGTGCCCGGTTCTGCCACCCCCTAGAGGGCCAAGGGGAGGTGGGCACCTCACATGAACCCCTCTAATGTGGCCTCTCTCCTTCTTCCCTCCGGCAGAACCAGAGCTGGGGTCTGGGGCGGGCCCTGCCGGCACAGGCACCCCCAGCCTCCTTCGGGGCAAGAGGGGCGGACATGCAACCAACTACCGGATCGTGGCCCCCAGGAGCCGGGACGAGAGAGGCTGAGGGTGGTGGCGGCCCCTGAGGCAGACCAGGCCAGGCTTCCCCTCCTACCTGGACTCGGCCAGCTGCCTCCAGGGACCGCCCGTCCATATTTATTAATGTCCTCAGGGTCCCTTCTGCCATCTAGGCCTTAGGGGTAAGCAGGTCTCAGTCCTGGCACCATGCACATGTCTGAGGCTGAGCAAGGGCTGAGAGGAGAGGCTTGGGCCTCAGTTTCCCTCTGTGAAGTGGGGGGAGGCAGGCCTTCAAGGAGGGATAGAGGTACAAGGCTTCGTCTCATCTGCTGTCTGAGCATCCAGGCCCAAAGGCACTGAGGGAGTCAGGAGCTGGGGCTCGGCACATGCAGAGATGACAGGGCAGGGGGCAGTCTTCCTCCCCCTCCCCGACCAAACCTCGGGGAGCCCTCCTGTGCCCCTCCCTCCTTGTTGTCCAGTGCTGGGCTCCCCACCCCGAGGTCAGGCTGCCCAATCCTCTGACTGGATCACCGGGGGCTTCTTGCCTCAGTTCTTCCCTCTGAGCCCCCAGGCCCTCCCGCATCTCAGGTTGGGGATGGGGACATGGAGAGGAAGGGGCCGCCTACTCCTGCAAATGCTTGTGACAGATGCCAGGAGGTAGATGTGTGCTGGCCAATAAAGGCCCCTACCTGATTCCCCGCAGCTTGGTCTCAGTGTGTGCTTAGATGGGGGCAGCTGGGAATGAGGCTACGACGGAGAGGGCTAGAAATGGGCGGTGGAGAATGCTCTGTGCTGGAGGACAGAGCCTCCTGGAGGTATAGGCTGCAAGGTGCAGGGCCAGGAAGCCTGTGTCTCTGGACATCAGGGAACAGCTCTCCCACAACTGGTCATTCATTTGGTGCTCACTCATTCATTCATCCCCCTGATGCCAACACAGAAGAGTCAAACACAACTGCTGCCTCCAAGGAGGTCCAGGTTGAAAAACAAACTGGTTTTTATTCTAAACACGTACTAGGGCAGCATGCTGGGGGGCCTCTCCTGCCTCCAGAGGTGCCCCTGCTCCCCACTGTGGCCCTCTTTAGACAGAGTAGGAGCTCGGGCTACCCACATGCAGCCCAGCCCTTAGCACCCAAGGGCCTGCCTGTGCCCCACTCTCTGCCTGGGCTAGGGAGGCCCAGGACCCTCGGAGTGGGCAGGCCCACCCTTTCCATGGGTCACCAGGGTCTCAGTGCCCACTTGTCCTCCAACCAACAGTGACACGGCACCCTCCACACGGCCTGTGGCTGCCAGTGCCACCACCGCCTGCTCCGTAGGGAAGCCCATGCGCTCCAGCTGCTGCAGCCTGTTGGGGGTGGGGGGAGAAGTGGGGAGTGTCAGGGCCACCCCGGCCCCTATACCAGGGGACCCCACCTCTGCCCACCCCACCTTACCGCAGAGAGGAGACAGAGGACTTGGACAGCCATGGTGCGCTCTGGGGTTCCTGGGCTGGCCCGTCAAGAAGCGAGGCCTGGATGCCCTCCTGCAGCATCTGCTCATCCAAGGCCGCCCACATCGGAGTCCCTGGGGAGAAGCTGGCCCCAGCCCAGTCCAGGCCTGCCTCTGAGGAGCCCTCCCAGGTGGGCTGCACAGGCCTCAGGCTTGGTGGGGGCAGGGCTGAGTCTTCCCAGTGGGACCAGAGGTCAGGGGAGGCCACATAAGGCGGTCCAGGGATGGGAGGCCTGGAGGAGTGGGAAGAGAAGAGGGCCTGACTGGCAGCCCTGCCACAGTGCCCACCACCTGGACTGGCATCCCCCCCATCACCCTCACCTCACTCCGGCAGGATGGGTGACAGGCAGCTCCGCCAGGCTACCCGGGGTGGCAAGGAGCCTCAGGGGCCAGCACCCCGCCAAGGTCCTGCACAAGACGCCCTCCTGCAGCACCTGCAGCCGTCGCTCTGAGGGTTCCAGCCACCGGAAGGCCCCAGCTGCATCTGTCTGCCCGGGGCAGGGCGGCCGGTCAAGGAAAACCAAAAGCAGCCAGGGGTGGGCCCACGCCACAGGCCAGGCCCCATGCCAAGTGTGCTGGCCACCATTCCCTCCCGTCTCCTCACTGTGGACCAGCATGGAATAGCGTCACCCTGGTCAGCAGCAGAGGCTCAGAAAGGAAAAGGGATCTGCCTGAAGCTACTCAGCCAAACAGAGCCAGGTATGCCTCACCCCAAGGCCTGGGCTCACCCGTGACCCACTCTGTTCCCAGAACCCTATGCACCTTTTCAGGTCTGTAACTCAAGACCCACCCGTCCTGGAAGAAGTCCCATGGACACACCTGCTATTGCCTTCAGACAGGCCTGGATAACTCCTGTCACCAATCCAGAGTGCAGAGGCCAGCCTGTTCTCTCCAGTGGCACTGTTTTCCCCGATAGGTATGAATCATCTTAGGGCTGGACGCAGTGGCTCACAGCTGTATAATCCCAGCACTTGGGGAGGCTGAGACGGGAGGATCACTTGAGGCCAGGAGTTCAAGACCAGCCTGGGCAACATAGACCCCGTCTCTACAAAAAATTTTTAAAATTAGCTGGACGTGGCAGTGCACACCTGTAATCTCAGCTACTCAAGTGGCTGAGGCAAGAGGATCGCTTGAGCCCAGGAGTTTGAGGCTGTAGTGAGCTATGATGGCGTCGCCACACTCCAGCTTGGGTGACAGAATGAGACCCTGTCTCTAAAAATTAAAAAAAAAATCTCAGAAGCAGAACACCAATAAAGAGTGCTCTAGCACGACTTATTTATTTATTTATTTTTGAGACAGAGTCTCACTCTGTCACCCAGGCTGATATGCAGTGGTGAAATCTCGGCTCACTGCAACCTCCAACTCCGAGGTTCAAGCAATTCTCCTGCCTCAGCTTCCCGAATAGATGGGATTACAGGCACGTGCCATCACACCTGGCTAATTATTTTGTATTCTTAGTACAGGGTTTCACCATGTTGGCTAGGCTGGTCTCAAACTCCTGGCCTCAAGAAATCGGCCCACCTCAGCCTCCCAAAGTGCTAGGATTACAGGCGTGAGCCACTGCACCCAGCCTCTAGCACCATTTATTAAAAAGAATATTCTTTTCCTCATTGAATCGACTTGGCACTCTTGTCAAAATAAATTGACTATACAGTAAATCTAACAGTTTATTTCTAGATGGTCAATTCTAGTCCATTGATCTGTATGTCTATCCTGATGCCAGTACCACAATATCTTGATTATTATAATTTTGTACGGCTTTTTTTTTTTTTTTTTTTTGGAGAGAGTCTTGCTCTGTCGCCCAGGCTGGAGGGCAGTGGTGCAATCTCAGCTCACTGCAACCTCTCTCCTGGGTTCCAGCAATTCTCCTGCCTCAGCCTCCTGAGCAGCTGGGATTACAGGCGTGTGCCACCACACCTGGCTAATTTTTGTATTTTTAGTAGAGATGGGGTTTCACCATGTTGGCCACGCTGGTCCTGAACTCCTGACCTCAAGTGATCTGTCTGCCTCGGCCTCTCAAAGTGCTGGGATTACAGGTGTGAGCCACCGCACCTGGCCACTTTTGTAGTTTTAAGTTTTGAAATTGAAAAGTGTAAGTCTTCCAGGTTTGCTTTTCTTTTTCAAGATTATCTGAGGTATTCTGGGTTCTTTACATTTCCATATTATTTTTAGGACCAGCTTGCTAATTTCTGCAACAACAACAAAGACAGCTGAGATTTTGATAAGAATTGTGTGGGATCTATAAATCAACTGAGTAGCATTACCATTTTAACAATATTAAGTATTCCAATCCGTGAACATGAGATCTTTCCATTCACTTAGGCTTTTAATTTTCTTTTTTTTTGAGAGGAAGTCTCGCTCTCTCGCCCAGGCTGGAGTGCAGCAGCGCTATCTTGGCTCACTGCAGCCTCTGCCTCTCGGATTCAAGCAATTCTCCTGTCTCAGTCTCCCAAGTAGCTGGGACTACAGGCGCCTGCCACCACGCCTGGCTAATTTTTGTTTTTTGGGGTTTGAGACCGGAGTCTCACCCTATCGCCCACGCTGGAGTGCAGTGGCATGTTCTCGGCTCATTGCAGCCTCTGCCTCACAGGTTCAAGTGATTCTCCTGTCTCAGTCTCCCAAGTAGCTGGGACTATAGGCGCCTGCCACCACGCCTGGCTAATTTTTGTTTTTTGGGGTTTGAGACCGGGGTCTTGCCCTGTCGCCCAGGCTGGAGTGCAGTGGCATGTTCTCGGCTCATTGCAGCCTCTGCCTCACAGGTTCAAGTGATTCTCCTGCCTCAGTCTCCTAAGTAGCTGGGATTACAGGTGCACGCCACCACGCCCAGCTAATTTTTGTATTTTTAGTAGAGATGGGGTTTTACCATGTTGGCCAGGCTAGTCTCGAACTCCTGACCTCGTGATCCGCCCACCTTGGCCTCCCAAAGTGTTGGGATTACAGGCATGAGCCATCGCGCCTGGCCTAATTTTTTTATTTTTAGTACAGATGGGGTTTCACCATGTTGGCCAGGCTGGTCTTGAACTCCAGACCTCAAGTGATCTGCCCGCCTGGCCTCCCAAAGTGCTGGGGTTACAGGCGTGAGCCACTGCGCCCGGTCAGGCTTTTAATTTTTTTAATTTTTAATTTTTGCTCAGGGTGGTTTGGCTATTCTGGGCCTTTTGTGGTTCCATATAAATTTTAGGGTTATTGTTTCTATTTCTGCGAAGAATGGCATTGATATTACAGGGAGCCCACGTAGCCCTTTACATTGTAATTGGCACCTCCACCAGGCCATAAGACCCCAGGTCCCAGCCCAGAGCATGTCCCAGAGGAAGACTCAGAGAAGCTCCTGGAATGTGTGTGCACGGCTCCTTGGTATTGCTTGGGCCTTCACCCCTTTGTGCCACTTCCTTCCCAGGCACCCACCCACAGAACCCACACATCCCCACGGGCCCTGGGCTCAGGCAAAGGATACAGGCCAGGCCGGCAAGGAGGCCGCAAAGGAGCTGCAGGAAGGGTGGCTCAGAGCTGAGCAGTGGGGTCAGGGCAAGCAGCAGCCACGGCGACAGCCACGGTGGCAGTGCCCCACGGGGCCGTCTAGGGCGGTGTCCCTCCCCAGCCAGCATGGCCAGGTGGACAGGCATGTATCCACAGCTGCCGGCTGCACTGGACAGCCCAAGGCCTGCCAGCAGCACTGCCAGCAGCCCAGAAGCCAGGGCGAGCAGGGCTGAGGCATGCAGGAATCTCAGCGTGCCCAGGTGGCACTCCTGCTGCCAGCCCACAGTGGGCAGGAGCAGCAGGCTCAGGAGCAGGCCTGGCAGGGCCGTGTGGCCCAGGGCATGGGTCAGCAGCCGGTGCACTGGGAGAGAGAAGGGGCTTATGTGCCAGGTTAGTGGCCCCAACATCCAAGGCTGTCCCAGGTGTGCCAGGTTGAAGGTTACGCTACACCAGGGCCACCTGCTGAGCCCACCTCCCCTCCCCAGGAGCCAGTCTTCCCACAGCCAGCACTTAATCATTGGTGGAAGGGACCAAGGACTTCCAAACACTGTGGCTACGCCTCTGTGGTATTAAACAGAATACACTGGACGTGCCACTCAGTCTTTTCACTGACAACCCGCTACAGAGCACTCACTATGTCCCAGACACCATGAAGGTACTCTGCTTCTGTATTTACTAAATCATACCTGGCTGAGAGCATGAAATGGCCTGCTTCAATCCTGGAGCTACCCCATTCCCTCAAGCTGTGTGACCCTGGTCAAATCACTTAACCTCTCTGAGCATCATTGGGGGTCCTCAAATACAAATTGGAGGAGTTATTATTGGGAAACAGGTGCTCAGCTGAGGTCACTCCTCAAAACCCCAACACCTCCTCCTCCCATCCTGATGCTTAGTTGAAAGTCTTAGCTGTTTTTTTGTTTTGTTTTGTTTTGTTTTTTGAGATGGAGTCTCACTCTGTCACCCAGGCTGGAGTGCAGTGGCGCGATCTTGGCTCACTGCAAGCTCCGCCTCCCAGGTTCGCGCCATTCTCCTGCCTCAGCCTCTCGAGTAGCTGGGACTACAGGCACCCGCCACTACGCCCAGCTAATCTTTTTGTATTTTTAGTAGAGACGGGGTTTCACCGTGTTAGCCAGGATGGTCTCAATCTCCTGACCTCGTGATCCGCCCGCCTCGGCCTCCCAAAGTGCTGGGATTACAGGAGTGAGCCACTGCGCCCGGCCAATTTTTGTATTTTTAGTAGAGACAGGGTTTAACCATGTTGGCCAGGCTGGTCTCGAACTCCTGACCTCAAGTGATCCACCTGCCTCAGCTTCCCAAAGTGCTGGGATTACAGGCGTCAGCCACCTGGCCTTAGTTCTTATTTCAAGGAAAAGCTGCTAGAAAGGGAAACCATGAGAAAAGCACTCCTACCCATAGGTTCCAGCCCACCCTAGGGAGTCCTCTGCCTCCCTTCTTGGCTGTGGATGTGCTGGGCATGCTCCTGTCTAAGGCCATGCTTTCCCGGGACACTGGGCCCCATCCCTGTTTGACCCCTGGAGGCCTTGTGCTGCTCCTGCCAAGTGGGCCCAGGCCCTACAGCAAGTCTCCTGCTTCCTCCAAGGTCCACGTGGCTGGCCCTCACCCTGCCAGGGGTCCAGCAACAGCTCCGGGGCCAGGACCAGGCCGGGGCCGGCCCCCACCAGCCACAGGGTGCTCATCAGCAGCATCAGGACTGAGGAGGCCAGAGGCAGTGCTGGGGACAGTTGGCCATGGGGGCCCCTGGCATGCATCGCTTGGTTGAGGACGGTCAAGGGTGGTCCTGGGGCTGTGTGCTGGGGATAAAAGAAAACAATAACAAGTTATTACTGGAGCTTTTATCTCACCAATACCCTCTCAAGCACCTTATCAACAGCCCTATTTTACAGAGGTGGAAACAGGCTGGAGACGCAGGCCCAGCAGCTTGGCCTTAGTGGAGCTCAGACCCTAACCCATGCGCTCATAAGCCATCTTACCATTCCACTCACCTCTGTTTAAGGACTGGCAGGGGACAGGCATAGAGACTTCTGAGTCCTGATAGGCCCTGAACTCCCAAAAAGAGGGGTTCAGGCCCTCACCCCCCAGGGCGAATTCAGGGCCATCTCTAGCCCTCTTCTGTCCTCCCCCTTCCCTCAGACTACTACCTCCCTCCTTCCTCCCCTCCCCTGTTCCCAGCCTTAATGCTCCAGATGGTTTCAGTTGCCCTTGACCCTGGGGTGGGGCCAGACAATGGGCAAGCCGACAGGGTAAGGGGTAGGGCAGATGGGCAGAAGTCCCACATCTTGAGCCATACTCAGAGACCTGCGACTGAGACATCCCCTTTGAGGGTGAACCCATCCACTGTAAGCCTCCTCCTGCTTCCTTACTGGCACAGCCCCTCTGGCCCTGGCTCCCCTTTCCACAGGAAGGGTACAGTATGCGCTCCACCTCTTTCTGCTCTGTGTCCTGAGGCAAGTTTCCAACCTCATCTTTTTACAGATGAGCCTCATTTTACAGATGAGCCTCTCCTTTCTCATCTGTAAAATGGAAATTCATAAATTCTTTTCCTCAGAGTATGATGAAATAAAAAGGAATAGGCTAAGGCAGGCCCTGGCCCACAACTCTTCCTCCATAAACCATAGCAATCCGCACTAATCATGGCAGGCGTCTGTAGCCACCAACTGGCCCATCGAGAAGGCCTCAATATGGAGGTGGCTGCTCCAGCCTAGCTGGTCCCAGCTTTGGCCCTCAAACATGGCCTTTCCCTGCCCACCAAAGCAAGGCCTTCTCCCCCGTGCTGTTCTCTTGCATCCAGCCTGTCCTCCAGGGCCTGTAGGTCTTCACCCCTGGTCAGGCCTCTCGGTCCCAGGACTCCCACTGAGCTGATTCAGGGCAGGAAGCAGGATCCCAGAGAGACAAGAAGGCTGCCTAATTTGCTCCCCTGCCAAGCGCCTTCTCCACATCTACCAGTTTCCTGCAGGAAAAATGTGGAAAGCTCCTCTGCCTGCATTGTCCTTCCCTCCATTTTGCCAGCAGGCAAACTCCTATTTCACCCTTGGAAGCCCAGCTCAAATATCCCTTCCCCTCCTCTGGCCCCCTAACATCATGGATCTTATCCTTAGGAGCACAGCTTGGCCAGTCTGTCTCCCTAGGCAGGTGGTCTGAGCTCATGGCTCCTCTGATCCAACCCCACATTCCCCAGGGTATTCACAGCACACAGCCAGTGCTTTATATATGTTCACTGAAAAAAGGACACTAGCTTGGCTCCTGGTCCTGCCGAGGGATTTGAAGGTGAACCCTGCCCTTCGCGGACCCGGGCATCCACCTAGGGGGCTGGGGCTAGAGGTCCAGGAAGGTGGGCAGGGTCAGCCTTGCCTGGAGGCAGGGTTTGGGGCCAAGGCACCCACCGTAAACCTCCTCCTGCATCGACACCTCACAACCATTCCCCAGCTCTGGGCACCTTAGCAAGGGTGAAGGGCTTACCCGTGGACACTCGGAACTGGGACTTGAGCCCCCTGGACCTCACTTTCTTCAATCTATGAAACGGGGCAGTGCACCACCAGGCCCTGCCTACCTTACTGGGAAGCCGGGAGGGCAGAATGGAAAGACAAGGACGGAGATTCTTCCGGTGGCGGATAGAGTAGGGGGTCCCAGGATCTGTCTGGTTCGAACTCAGCTGGTGACTTTGCAGAGATACTCAATTTCCTTGGGCCTCAGTTTCCCCTTCTGTAGAAACAAGGATATCGGATGAGGGATGATTAAAGGGCCTGCTCCACCTCGACCGTTACCGGGGATAGGGTCTCGGGGCCAGGCACGGCGTTCGAGGCCTCCCACCCAGCCGACCGGCCTTGGGGACCCTTCCCCGCTGGCCCGGGCCACGCGTCCCGGGTACTCACTGCAGAGCGCGCCCGGCAACCCCGAAAGGCCGGTCGGGGACCCCGGCTGGGAGTCAGGACTCTAGCTCCCGGGCGCGACCCGAGAACCCTGAATCCATTCCGCGCACACCCGGCCGCGTGACCCCTGCCGACCGGCTGGCGCGCCACCCATTCCCCGCGGCCCGCGGATTAGTCAGCAGTTGTTCTAGTCCGGGTCCCTTCCCCCAGCCCTCCCGCCGATCTCCGTCTCCCTGCAGGGCCGACTCTTCAGCGACCGTCCCTAGAGCCAGCGGACGGAACCATTCCAAACAGCCTAGTCTCGTGCTGAGAGCCTCTCCGGTTTCACGCTGAGACCCGCTCACCCCCGCTCTGGCCCCTTAGATGCTATTTTGGCCCGAGTGTCACGTCGGGCGCTCTTTAGAGAGGACTGGGACAAGAGTTGCGGACGCGAAGAACGAGTAAGCGGTGGTTCATCCCTCCTGACCCCACCCCCGTGGCCTGGCCCGATGGTCGCGCCCGGGGTTGCGAGATTTGCGCCTGCGCAGTGCGGCGCCTAGAGGGAAAGCGAGAGGGAGACGGACGTTGAGAGAACGAGGAGGAAGGAGAGAAAATGGCGTCCACGGGTGAGTATGGTGGAACTGCGGTCGCGCCGGCGGTAGCCGGAACGCCCAAACTGGGGGTCGTTCGTCTCTGGGCTTGGCTGGGAAGACTGAGTGGAGTTGCCGAGAGGGGGTTGAGGCACCCGCCGCGGCCCGACGAGCTCGGGGATCCGCATTCCTCTCCCCTCCCCCAACCGGGCGGGCCGGTTCTGGAATCTTCCGGCGCCCGTGGCGCGCGGGGGGCTTGCTGCGGCGGGGGCGCGCGGGGCCCGCCTTGGCCTCCATTGTGTGGCGGTCCTCGCGCCCTGAGCTCCGGGCCTCCCGCCACGTGGGCGGGGCCTGCGGCCTTCGAGGCCCTGCGTGAAGGGGAGGATTTGGCCAGGCCTCAAGCCGGTCACTATGAAACCGCCGGGGGGCCCGCAGGCTGCTGTCCCTGTGAGGCCTCCCTCCCCGTTTTCAGGGTTTCCTGAGAAACCAGGGGAAAAAGCAAATAAAGATACCGTGGATTTGTGGGCCGAGGGGTGCCGGCCTATGAGCGGGAGCCCCGTCATCCTTAAGACCCAGTCGGCTGGGGCGTCTGGCGCTGCCGAGCTGCCCCCTCTGTGGCTTCCAGCCCCAAGCCGAACTTCTGCTCGCCTGGGCTTTAGACAGAATGTGCTTCCCTCCTCCAGGGCCCCCAGTTTGCCGCTTTCTTGGGCTTCTCCATTTTTATCGTTATTAATCCACGTCCTCCCCTCCCCCAAAACCAATTAAGTGGCTTCCCAGGGCCCTTTTTCTGCAAACGCCGAGGGACATCCGTTGTATAATAAGGCCAGCCTGGGTCGAGAGACGAGAAACGCTACCAGAAAGATATTTCTGGTCTCTCTGACCTAGGAGGAACAAAAGGCCGAGCCTTCATTTGAATTATGTTTCAGCAGTGGCCTCGCACGTTTATTCGCCTGCGTTAGGCCGGCAGGCCTGTTGATTTCGTAGGTCGACAGAGGAGAGGGGAAAAAAGGCCAGTAGAAGCAATCTTAAAGGCACTTGCAAGCAAGCCCCGGTTGGGAACTCCAAAATGGGAGTAGAGTGGTCCTTGATGGAAGGAGCGTTTAAGAGTGTCGCCTAGCCATCACCTGCAGTTCGCAATCTGTGGGTACACTAACCCGCGAAAATTGGCAGGGTGGAGCATTTTTGCCCCGGGGGTATTCTCAGGCCACCTGGTTCCAGGCCTTAGAGACAGTGGGAGAAGATGAGAAGGAAGACAGGAAAAGTTCTGGGCACTCCAGAGTTTTTGGAGTCCAGAATCCAGCAACTTAAGGACAGTTTAAGAATTCTCCCCATCTGTGGTCAATAAACAGGTAAGTGTTGGCTGTTCGTGCCGGGATACCAAAGAGTGGATACCAAAGAGTGCCGGTAGAAGAGAGGACTGAAATACCACAGCTAACCTCCCGGTGGGAAGTGGTTTCCTAGGTGCCCTATCCACCCTCTTCTGCTCTGCAAAAGCCTGAAAAGGCAAAACGTGTGCGTTGACATTTTTGCGTGGCTGGACGTGCCTTTTTTCAGTCAACTTTGTTCAAACCTTGTTCACCAGTAACTACCATGTGCTGTACTGTATTAGAATTACAGTTGTGGTTTCTGTTGACACAAAGTAAACACATTAGGCCTGGCTGGGGGGGCCTTCAGAGAGTCACATAAGTAATCTGGTCCTTAGTTTCCTTTCCTGTAAAATACAGAAGTTAGGCTAGACCTCTTAAGCTTTTGAGCCCTTCTGACCTTCCAGCATAAGCATTCCACAAATTTGTCCTATGCTGACTTCAGCTCAGGTACTGTGAAGCTCAACTCAGGTAGTGTGAAGCAGCTTCCATAGTGACTGCTCTAAAGTGTTAAACCGTTGCCTTGGGTTAATAATAGAAGTTTTCTCTCCTCGTATGTTATCTCATGTAGAAAAGTACGTAAAGCATATATATCCAGTGCAACAAAGAATTGGAATGCAGACTCGCAGCAATCTAGAACCCCCAGCGCTCAATCACAGTGAAGTGATTTTTAGTGAAGTCAGTGGCTCACTTTTGGGGGTTAAAAACGAACACGGTTGCTGAATAATCTGACCAGTTTGTAATTGTATTAGGTTGGTGCAAAAGTAATTACGTTTGCATCAACCTAATAGCTTGCTTGAGGGCCTGTGATGTTTGTGTGCTCTAGGAAGATAAATGTAAGTTCATGAAACAAATTTGCTACCTTCTATAGCCCACCAGTTAGTATAGGGCCGAATCCTGTGGTTTCTCACTGATAAGAGGTCATTGGTTGTTCCATATCAGCTTTGCCAGTTTGATGTTTTACATAACTGCTCTTGCGTAAAAGTCGTCTTGCAAACGTTGAACTTACATGACAGTGATTTACAATCACTTCTCAAGCAAAGACCTCAACAAAACGTGGGTTAAAATATTTGATGTTAAATGATTCATTGCTGTGTTTATTTTGTAGATGCCACATGGAAAAAATGATCTGCATTTAGTTTTAATGTCAGAGAGAGTATGACTTGTAGTGCTATTGAAAATGCCTTTAAGATTGTCATGAACAGATTATTTTTTTCATTATAGGTTAGCCTTTGGGCAGTTGATTTGTTCCTCTTGGTGATTCAGGGTTTTGAGTTAAGAGTGTGTACAAAGGAAAGAAAGTAGTCCAGTAAAGTACAGAGAGGTAGGCAGATAAGCCAACGTGAAGAGATGGATTCAGCAAAGCTCTCTCAGGCCGCCGAGGGATTGTGAGGCTGGCTTTGGATTCCATGAAGTGGATGCCATGAAGAGCTGTCAATTGTTGGTTTTGGATGAGGGACTACTTTCTGATTGGAAAATAAAGGACCCCTTTTTTCCGTCCTAATGGCAGTACTGTCTTCAGACAGAACAAGATATGTGTTCTTGTGGAGAAGAAAGAATTGGGCAGAATTTTCAAAAATAATTACTTTAACTGCCTTTAAAAAAAAACTAAATTTATCTAACTTTAATGCAGTAGCGCTCTGAAAACTATTTTCCGTTTGTTTTTACTACTTGTAGACACCTCAGTGGACCAGTTTTTGGTCCCTTTGGATGCATGTTATAAATTTCATAGGAAAAGGAAAATTATAGGGAGGTTTACTTAGATAAGGGATGAAAATTCATGTCTTTTTTTTAAGTTGAAATCATTTTGAGTTGTATGAAAGACAATGGTGTTACCAAATTTTTCCCAGAAAGACTAAATGCTTTTTCTTCTTTGCCAGTCTTCAGGGTTCTGCCTTAGCTCTGCTTCACCAGGGTTTATAATATATCTAGCTTTTAAGTTGCTGCACAAATATAGTTCTGACACAGCAAACCCTTTAAAACACTGGAGTGTGGTGACTGCCTTCTTGTCTGCCATTCCGTTTCACTGTCGTTGAGCTAGGGAATGATGGTTTGTCTAACTTGCTAAAGTGAGGGGAGTGAAAACTAATTTTTGAGGAGAGGTAGGTTCTAACGTAACCAATCTAGTGTTAAACTTTGTATTATTGTTGCATG
The DNA here is from genome assembly GCF_000001405.40 of Homo sapiens. NCBI lineage: Eukaryota > Metazoa > Chordata > Mammalia > Primates > Hominidae > Homo > Homo sapiens. The sequence goes on from NC_000022.11 coordinate 29,271,832, forward strand.
CCTCCGTTTTATATGAGGGTAGAAACTTCTGATCCTGTTAGTAGATCTTGTTGTCAGTCTGTGATATTGATGATCATCCTGTATTTTAAATGACAGTTGGGATTGGGATGGGTTTTGTGGTCATGGGAACATAAAAAGTATACCTGCCAAATCAGCTGATCTTGACCTCATTAGCTAGTCCCACAGTCAAATGTTGAGTTTAACTGGTTTAGACTTTTTTTTCTGTTAGATGTTGAGAGGTAAGGGGGACTCATTTGGACCTGTGTTGGCAGGTCTCCCTACAGTTTAAAGAATTCTTCCTGCCACGTGAATTCTTTCCCCCTTTTTTCTCTTCTCCTTGTTTCTGCTAACTTTACACTATTTTTCCTCCTTGTTTTCCTCTAGATTACAGTACCTATAGCCAAGCTGCAGCGCAGCAGGGGTAAGTCAGTCTTTTATAACCGTATTTTGTGTGTGATTAATATTTTTTGAATATGGAGCCTTCTATAATTGTAGAGGTGGTATTTGAATGTTCTCTATTCAAGTTATTGCATTTAATTCTTTTGCAGCTACAGTGCTTACACCGCCCAGCCCACTCAAGGATATGCACAGACCACCCAGGTAATCTTTAAAATAATTACATGTAGCTGCACCTCCAAGTAAAATCAGTATATTATCCAGTTATCTTTCAGTTATCCAGTAAAACAAATGAGTAATGTGTTTGGAATAGTAAAATACCCAGGCATTTTAAACTTTCACAGTGGGAGTGCGAAGGACTCCATTGTGCCATCATAAATGAAACCATTCAGAAGCTGATAATTGACTCTTTATAACTTTTTAATATGATTTCTCAAGTTAGGTGCCCTGTTCCATGCTTGGTCCTTCTTCATTATGTTTAAATTTAGTGAATTTATTCATCATAGCAATTCTGCAAAGGAAGAGGATGATATGACCATTCTGCAGAGGAGAACATTGCAGTGCATAGATATTAAGTAACTTGCCAGTGGTTGCACAGTAAGTGGCGGGGTTAGCTCTAAAAACTGGCGACCTAGCCAAGGAGCTGCTGAGCTCTTTCCAGTGAAGAGTCTGTTGAAAAGCCTAGGCCAACAGATTCTAGAAATTAGCCTTCTAGTGTTTTCAAGATAATGTTGAATTCTGAAATGATCCATGCCATAAAATGGATACTAATAACTGCCATGGAAACATGTTCTAGGACAAGCAGAATGTGATGTCTCTGGCAGATCTTACATAACTGGTCATTTAAACAAACCTAGAGAATAATCATGCTAATATCTGAAAGAACAACTCTTCCTTGCCTGATTTTAAGTATTATGGATGTCTAAGTTCAAAAGACAGTACTCTTGATGTGCCCACCATAAGAGGACATACAGCGTTCTGGTTCATTTTCTTTGAAGTGGTATAGTAGTTTTAAAGTCTTTTTGTCAGGCTGAAAATCTGGTTTTCAATTTTTTCTGACAGATTTTAGCCCTCTTCATTGCTTTCTCTGTTCATTTGTCTTCGTACCTTTTGTTTCCAATCACTAAAACTGTGCTACGCTAAGTGCTAGCAGTTAATACACCTGTGCCCTTATTGCTCTTCCCTTGAGAGTGTCTTGTTAATCTCATGTATAGTTAACTGAGGTTTTGCCTGATTATCTTTTTTTTCCCCCTTTTGAGAAGCTGTGAATGACATTGCCTACTTACCTAATGAGCTTTTTCCGTAGCTAACTTTACCATAATATGAGTGAACCAGATAAGGGATAACATTCATGATACTGTGATTATTTGTCTTGTTTTGTTGTTTTTGTTTTGTTTTTTTAATCTTCTAGAAAGGAATGTTTTTGATTTTGGTTCTCCAATTTAGTCCATTTTATTGCTAAAATACAAAAGTTCATGTATGAAGTTCTTGCATTCGTTTTTTTTTGGAGCAGGCATATGGGCAACAAAGCTATGGAACCTATGGACAGCCCACTGATGTCAGCTATACCCAGGCTCAGACCACTGCAACCTATGGGCAGACCGCCTATGCAACTTCTTATGGACAGCCTCCCACTGGTAAGGCCTGCCTTGGAGAGATTTTTGGGTCGTTCTGGCTAGGGCATTGGCTAAGAAGCTTATTAGTCATGCTTTCGGATGTATATTCTGGTCCATACCTTGGCATCTGGGGAATCCTTTATTCTTAGGAAGAGGTATTTTTTCTCTTTCTTCCCTACTCTTATAGTCTTGAGAGATCTCCAATAGAATGTGGGTGGGATAAATTCCAAGAGAGAAAAGAACTTTTAACTGTTTGAATAATCTCACGATGAAATGGAGACTATGTAAAAGATTTTGCTAATGCTAATACTGAGTAAGAATGAGTCTTCTTAAATTGAGCTGCTTAAAAATCAAACTGGTTTTCACATGTTTGCTTCATCTGATAGTGTACCCTCTACTTTTTGTTTTGTGCTTTCCACAGTAGAAGGGACCAGTACAGGTTTGACTATCCTGCTCATTCTTGCATGGGAAATGCTTTCCATCTTGTCTAACCCTGTAATGTTAATCCTTTAGGTGTTTTCATTTGTTGAACCCCCAAACTTTCTAACATCACACACAGCAAGGTGCTAATGAAAAACTGCTTCAGGTGCCATTTGCAGATCCATGTCCTATTCTTTATATGATTTTGGGAAAGGTTTTTTTATTTAATATTACTTTGTTTCAAGCCTTAATAATAGTTATTTACCTTCCCAAAGGTATTTCAGGTGATTTCTCCCCAGCTGATTTTCCCCTGTTCCCTGAAGGATAGATTGCATGATGAGATTTATTTAGAGGAGCAGACTGCCACCCTGCATGTATCATGTTTGTCTATTGGTTGGTTTCTAGTCCAGACACATTTTATTTTCTGTTTTAAGTGTTATGAATTATTTTAATCCATGGTATGTCTTGAATATATATAACATTATTCCAAGATACTAAAAAATAAACTATTCTAAGAATTAGAAGAAATTGTATTCCGATACTGAGGTTGGGTGGGATACATGAAAAACCTATGATAATTTTTTTGTGTTCAGTGCTGTGTAATGTTTCAGGCTGTCTCCCCCTGCCCTTTTATTATTGCTGTTATAAAAGACTCTAATAAAGTCTTAAAGATATCAGAGCTCTTATTTTCAAACTGTCTTTAGTTCTCCAAATTATATATAGTCCAGTTAAGGGGAAAAACCTGTCTGTAATTTATCTCATTGAGTACCAGTGTCCTGATTTTGATGGGAAGTAATTCCTAACCTCTTCTAGGGTGTTTCTCAAATAGGATGGGAAATGTTTATCTAAACTTTCTAGTGGTGTTAATTGCAGCTGTGGGAAGAGCTGGAACTAAGGTTATGCAGTTTGGATTTTTTAGCATAGAATTTTGAAATTGTGAGATAAACTTCATGTATTAAAGCCATTACATTTTTTAAAACAAGCATGATGTGAAAGTTAATGTGGCCTAGATCTAGCCTTCCGAATCCTTAGATCATTTTACAGGAATGAGACGGAGTGATTTATAGGCAAATTAATGGTTCTCTAGAGCCATGTATCACATTGTCGTTGGTTGAGAAATCCCCATCATGACTGTGGGCCTAAAAAGTACAGGTCATTCTAGTTTAGAGACTAGTAGCTTTGATGAGCTGGAGATTGCACTTAGTAATAATAATGTTTGTATAAAATTCACAGTTTATAGAGTGGCCTTCTTGTCTCCCTTAATCCTCCCAAGAACTTTTGGGGTATAAAAACACCAAAATTAAGCCTGATGAGCAAACTGTGTGAACAAAACTTAGCAGGAGCCTAATTGGTAGTGCGTGGGTTCAAGCACACATGCTGCATTTTTCCTTACCTCATACTGCCTTTACACATGAAAGTTATCGGATAGTCATTGGAGGGAATACATAGAAATACACTGTTCTCTTCTAGGATTTTTAAAAATTAAACTTCAGAAGAAAGGGGTTATATAAACCTCAATTCAATGGAATTCTTAAAAACTTCTTAATTTTTACGTTGAACAAAAGTTTTGGTTTGTGTAATATTTCTTACCACCTTTTTCCTTCAAGTTGTCAGCACATAGTAGGTGTGTTTTCTTTTTTTGCCACTGGTCTTTTGTTTTTTTGTTTTTTTGTTTTTTTTTTGGTCATTAAATCATTTTGCTCTGTTGATTTTTGTTCATTTTGCTTGGCTGCTTTTGTGGGTACTACAGATTAATTAAAAGGTTATTTATTAACCCAGTGTCTATTGCTGTAATCTTTAGCATGACAAGGCCCTAACTGTTGCTGCATAGTTTTATGACATGAGTTATTGCCCTGATCACTTTTAGTTTTTTGTTTTTTTAATTGCCCTCCTTGTAAATCTTATAGACGTGTCATGTAGTGGGGTGTAATCGGTATATGAACGGTAGGGTAGATGGTATTAGATTCTAATTTAAATAAATGAATGCCTTATGTGGTTGACCTTAGGACTCTGCAAAAACTTAAGCAGTTCAGATGAACAACATGCCAACTCAAAAACTTTTATTGCTTGGGGCTTCCTGTTTTCTGGAACTATGTATACTTTCATACACATTTTAACTCAGCAGTTTTGACAAGGACATTACTATCTCTGTGTATAATTTCAGAATTTCCTTTTAATATTTGAGGTAGAGAAGAAAGAGTATTATTATATTCTGTGCTACAAATGGTGATTGTACAAAAGGAAGCTGATACTTGTTTCTGGCCAGTACATGAGGACACTTTAAGGCCCTAAATCTTAACTAAAATGGGCAGTCTTGATTCAGGATTTATTTTAAATATGGAAGCTTTTTCTTTAGTGAGATGTAGACTTTTTTTTTGGATATAAATGCCAGCACCTAGACCAAAGTTTTGTTTTGTTTTGTTTTTTTAAGATAGGGTCTCTGTTGCCTAGGCTGGATCTTACTGCAGCCTTGACCTCCCAGCCTCAAGCAGTCCACCCACCTCAGCCTCCCAAGTAGCTGGGACTGAAGGCTCACGCCACCATGCCCAGCTAAGTTTGTTTATTTTTTGTAGAGGCGAGGTCTCACTATATTGCCCAGGGTGGTCTCTAACTCCTAAACTCAAGCAGTCCTCCCACCTCAGCCTCCCAAAGTGTAAACCAAACTTTTTATTGCATGGCTTAATTGTACCCATTGACCATGAGGAAGAAGAGTCCAGCACCAGGAATGGTTGTAACACCTCCTACAGGAAAGGTACTCTAGTTAGGAGCTGCAGACTTTCGTGGTTTTGGTCATGCTCCACGCCGAAGTCCCGAAGGGAAAGGCATGGATCCTGCCTGGTCTGGCAGAGGCAGGAGCTAGGGATAGAATGCATCTTGCTTTGCAGCATACCTGTGAAACCAGGTTTTTTCTGACACCTGGTTAGTGAAATACTGAAGGGGAGGAGAGACTCTAGGGTTTACCTCCAATATTGCTGAGCAGGAAAAAGGCCTTTTGCTTGTGGTAGGTAAGTAAGAGGAATGGAGCTGAGTAACTTGATAACGAGGCAGGAATCTGCTTTATGATGTGAAAACATTACCTTTTAAATGTTTGTTTGGAGCAATATCGAAGTTTAATTTTAAATAATTTACAAAAAAAGGATAAACTGTGTTAAGCAACTATAATTTATAGCTTATTTTTATTAATCATGTGCTCAAGTAATTAAGCTTGTGCTTCACATGATGTTAGTGCTTGGGACCAAAAGAAAGTGATTAAATTAATTACTACCCAAATTACAGGTTTTAGTGCTAGAACTAGTACCTGGATCATTTTCTAATTATTTTAAAATGCTATGTCATTTGCCTTTTACCTTTTCTTCTGGGATGTTTTATTCCTGCTTGAGGGTATTTTGGGGTAAGTTTGTTTACAAACTTGTTAAGACGACCTGCTAGCAAAATCAGTACAGACTTGGCAAAAACAGACTTGTCTCCTATTCACAGCATTCAAGAGGGGGCAGAAGGAACCCTGTTTTCTGTAGCATGACATGCCATTTCTGTTAGGTGTGGTTTTAGAGCAAATGAGACAGTTACTTTACCAAAAACTAGGTACATTCAGAGAACTTAGGCTTTAAATACCAGTTTGTTGCTACTCTTGCGGAAGGGGGAATATTTAAAGGGATTCAATATCCTGATGGTTTAAAGTAAGTGGTTTACAAATTGTTCTGATAATGAGTGTCTAGGCAGATCTCTGAGGGGACCTGAAATCTGATGCAGCTCTCCTTTGTTCTAGGTTATACTACTCCAACTGCCCCCCAGGCATACAGCCAGCCTGTCCAGGGGTATGGCACTGGTGCTTATGATACCACCACTGCTACAGTCACCACCACCCAGGCCTCCTATGCAGCTCAGTCTGCATATGGCACTCAGCCTGCTTATCCAGCCTATGGGCAGCAGCCAGCAGCCACTGCACCTACAAGGTAAGGCCATGGTGTCCTTAATGCGTCAGTCTTATGTTGGAGGGAAAGAAAGCAACTGTGTACACTTAAAATAATCTGTGGTTTAGTTCCTTATTAGTGGTTGCTTTCATATACTCTCAGATGTTCACTGTTAGTAACTGATGTGCTAGAACATACCACAGAAATATTCTGCATTTAACAGTGAAATTGGCTGGGCGCGGTTTCTCATGCCTGTAATTCTAGCTCTTTGGGAGGCCGAGGCGGGCGGATCATATAAGGTCAGGAGTTTGAAACCAGCCTGGCCAACATGGGTGAAACCCCGTCTCTACTAAAAATGCAAAAATACCGGGGGGGCGCAGTGGCTCACGCCTGTAATCCCAGCACTTTGGGAGGCCGAGGCAGGGGGATCACAAGGTCAGGAGATCGAGACCATCCTGGCTAACACGGTGAAACCCCGGCTCTGCTGAAAAATACAAAAAATTAGCCGGGCATGGTGGTGGGTGCCTGTCGTCCCAGCTACTCGGGAGGCTGAGGCAGGAGAATGTCATGAACCCGAGAGGCGGAGCTTGCAGTGAGCTGAGATCGCTCCACTGCACTCCAGCCTGGGAGACATAGCAAGACTCGGTCTCAAAAAAAAAAAAATAGAAAAATTAGCTGGGCGTGGTGGCGCACACCTGTAATCCCAGCTACTGGGGAGGCTGAGGCAGGAGAATTACTTGAACCTGGGAGATGGAGGTTACAGTGAGCTAAGATGGCACCATTGTACTCTAGCCTGGGCGACAGAGGAAGACTTCACCTCAAAAAAAAAAAAAAGTGAAATGGTGCTATCGAAGGGTCAAAATGAGGAATGGCACTGAATAGGTTCTCTGGTTTCAGAATGACCTTTTAGGGTAGGAGAAGGCTATTGTTTTTAAACCCAGAAGAAGAGAGAGAGAGAGTGTGTGTGTGTGTGTTTTCACTCAAAACAGCATAACTGATAGAATTGTACTTTTGAATTGTACTTTTGATGCTTTTATCTTTGATTTCATTGACCCTGTAAATGGGTAACCGCTTTCTCTTTGGCAAAAACATGGTAGTTCACACAGGCAGGAGGGGAAGGGAGCATCATGTGAGTCAAGAAATGGTCGTATGACCTAATTGTCTGGAAAGGACATAACCATATTCAAGAAATCAAACATTACTGTCTCGGCTTAAGCAATTGACATGACTTCCCTACATTGTATAGAGGCTTAATCTAAATATTATAGGCAAATAAAAATTCTTAACTGGGTACCCTGCTATAGGATGAGCAGAGCTCATACCCCATGACTGGTTAGCAGGTAAACAGTATAATTATTACTTAACAAAAGATTTTAGATCTTTGCTTTAGGCAGTCACTTAACTGGCTTGTGTATACAGTCTTGAAAGGACATTGAATTCTGGTTTGAAAGAAGACATTTTAGGAAATCAACTTCTAACCTAGATATATCTGCTCTAGAGGTAAGAAATTAGCTCTGACAAACACTCGTGAAATTACTTTTAAAATGCACAGTGAGTAATCGGAGCCGCTTGGCAATTTACCCTTGGTAGACCACCTTTGCAGTAGCTAAGTTAAACTTAGTGGCTTATTCCTGAAAGGCCTCATTTCCGAGTGTCATCAGATGTATGAAGTCCCATTTGATACTCTGATGCAACAGTATATCCAAGCCATATCTGGAGGGTTTTATATATGAATTGGGTTTTGATAAGTCATCCTTTTTTTTTCTTTTCACTTGTTACCACTTTAAAACAGCTGTCTGTCTCATAATCAGTGGCAACTGCTTTTTCGACTGGAAAAGGGTATGGGACCTATTTCAGCTCAGGAAAAGTTAGTACTTCACACCCTCTCTGGTTTTTCTGGGTTGGTTGGTTGGTTGGTTGGTTTTTGAGATGGAGTGTTGCTCTGTTGTCCAGGCTGGAGTGCAGTGGCGAGTGCACCCACCACCCAGGTTCAAGCAATTCTCCTGGCTTAGCTTCCCGAGTAGCTGGGACTACGGGCATGTACCACCATGCCCGGCTAATTTTTGTATTTTTAGTAGAGGCAAGGTTTCACTATGTTGGCCAGGCTGGTCTCGAACTCGTGACCTCAAGTGATCCGCCTGCCTTGGCCTCCCAAAGTGCTGGGATTACAGGTGTGAGCCACCGCACCCGGCCTGCCTGTTGATTCTTTGGACTTTGCTTAAAATATTAATAGCTCTAACTCAGTCTGCTGCAGCCTTGATGTAAAGTGTTAGGGCCAAGAGGTAATAGAAACCCCTGGAGTTTTCCTTGGAACTGAGATTAATTTTCGTCATTTAACAGGGATACTTACTTCCAGGTTCATCTGAGCAGGGACTTGGGAGGGGTCTCTTTGCCTTACTCTGGTGTTTCCATTACGGAGACTTTGAGCCAAGTTAGATTAGTTTATGGCAGCCCAGTTTAGGAAATGATTTTTTTCTGGTTGGTTGGATGGTTTGGTTGGTTTTTTTTTTTTTTTTAAGATGGAGTTTTGCTCTTGTTGTCCAGGCTAGAGTGCGATGGCACAATCTCGGCTCGCTGGAGCCTCCGCCTCCGGGGTTCAAGTGATTCTCCTGCCTCAGCCTCCTGAGTAGCTGGGATTACAGGTGCCCGCCACTCTGCCCAGCTAATTTTGTGTGTGTGTGTGTGTTGTTTTTTTTTTTTTTTTTTTTTTTTTTTTTTTTTTTTTGACAGAGTCTTGCTCCGTCGCCCAGGCTGGAGTGCAGTGGCGCCATCTCAGCTCACTGCAAGCTCCGCCTCCCAGGTTCATGCCATTCTCCTACCTCAGCCTCCCAAGTAGCTGGGACTACAGGCACCCACCATGATGCCTGGCTAATTTTTTGTATTTTTAGTAGAGACAGGGTTTCACTGTGTTTGCCAGGATAGTCTCGATCTCCTGACCTCGTGATCCTCCTGTCTCAGCCTCCCAAAGTTCTGGGATTATAGGTGTGAACCACCGCTACCAGCCAATTTTTTGTATTTCTAGTAGAGACGGGGTTTCTCCATGTTGGCCAGGCTGGTGTCCAACTCCTGACATCATGCAATCCACCTGCCTTGGCCTCCCAAAGTGCTGGGATTATAGGCATGAGCCACCGCACCTGGCAGTTTGTTTTTTTTGAGATGGAGTCTCTCTGTTGCCCAGGATGGAGTACGCGATCTAACAGCTCACTGCAGCCTTCACCTCCCATGCCCCAGCAGTCCCTCCCACCTCAGTCTTCCAAGTAGCTGAGACCACAGGCATGTACCACCATACCTGGCTAATATTTTTCTATTTCTGTAGAGGTGGGGTCTCCCTATATTACCAGGCTGGTCTGAAACTCCTGGGCTCAAACCATCCTCCTGCCTCAGCCTCCCAAAGTGCTGGGATTTTTTTTGTTTGTTTGTTTTTGAGACGGAGTCTTGCTCTGTCGCCCAGGCTGGAGTGCAGTGGCGCGATCTCGGCTCACTGCCAGCTCCGCCTCCTGGGTTCACGCCATTCTCCTGCCTCAGCTTCCTGAGTAGCTGGGACTACAGGCGCCCACCACCATGCCTGGCTAATTTTTTTTTTTGTATTTTTAGTAGAGACAGGGTTTCACTGTCTTAGCCAGGATGGTCTCAATCTGCTGACCTCGTGATCCGCCCTCCTCGGCCTCCCAAAGTGCTGGGATTATAGGCATGAGCCATTCTCGCCTGGCCTTGACCTGGTCTGTTTTTAATAAATGAGAAACATAAACCCACAAATTCTCTAAATTTATGATGCCATGGACTTACGTAAATGTTACTTCAACCTAAAACTTAACATTATTGTTAGTTTCTGGTCTTCAGCAGTCCCCTTTGAGAAAAAGCATTTATTCCCTAACAGATCACTTCTCCCGGATCACCTAAACTGGTAGCACACAATATCGCAACGCACTTTTATAGCGTTTACTGTGATGAATGGAGCATATTAATGTCTCTTCTGTGGATATGATTGATTCTCCCCCTTCCTTAGTGTTGTCTTCAAGCAAATATAGTTGGACCGACACTGAGTTTGATGTAGTTTACTTTAGGATTGTATTTATTATTGTATTTATTTCCAGGCTTAATCATAACATTGCTTATTGCTCGTAGCTTTGTAGCATTCTTACCCAGGAGTTTTGTGGTTGACCAACCACACAAAAAAAGTCACTTTTTAATTTTATTTATTATTTCTCCTCTTAGACCGCAGGATGGAAACAAGCCCACTGAGACTAGTCAACCTCAATCTAGCACAGGGGGTTACAACCAGCCCAGCCTAGGATATGGACAGAGTAACTACAGTTATCCCCAGGTACCTGGGAGCTACCCCATGCAGCCAGTCACTGCACCTCCATCCTACCCTCCTACCAGGTCAGTCTACTTTTTGTGGCAAAACAAAAACAGTGACAAAACAGTTTTTTTCAGGTTGTTGACCAGCTTGCTTTGACTTCTTCAGCTAAGGTATGTTATCTGACTGTCGCAGTGATAAGTCATCTGACCATACTTGGTTACATTAAAGCCTGAGATCTAGGGTCCCATAGTGTTGCCTGGCAGCTAATAACTATTCTTTTTTCTTTTTTTTTTTTTTTCCCCCGAGACGGAGTCTCTCTCTGTCGCCCAGGCTGGAGTGCAGTGGCGCGATCTCGGCTCACTGCAAGCTCCACCTCCTGGGTTCACGCCATTCTCCTGCCTCAACCTCCCGAGTAGCTGGGACTACGGGTGCCCGCCACCACGCCCAGCTAATTTTTTGTATTTTTAGTAGAGACAGGGTTTCACTGTGTTGGCCAGGATGGTCTCAATCTCCTGACCTCGTGATCCACCCATCTCGGCCTCCCACAGTGCTGGGATTACAGGCGTGAGCCACCGCACCCGGCCCAGCTAATAACTATTCTTTCTAAATACAAAAACATTTTTACCACTCTAAGTTCTTTCTTTAAGTTTCTTCCTTTTGCTGTTTTAGTTAACTCAGATGGGAAGCAGAAGTATATGAAAGCATGTAAATAGATGTAAGAGCCATCTTCCCCAATGCAGTTAGGATAAGTAAAGCGCAGGGCATTATAATTCACCTTAATCATTTTACATTTTACCTAACACATAAAGGTTTATTCATGCACTAACCTTTTAATGTATGGGCCAACTCTTTTTATTTTATTTTTATTATTATCGCCTGGCCAAGTTTTCTTTTTTGAGACAGAGTCTCACTCTGTTGCACAGGCTGGAGTGCAGTGGCACGATCTCCGCTCACTGCAACCTCTGCCTCCTAGGGATTCTCATGCCTCAGCCTCCCGAGTAGCTGGGACTGCAAGTGCATGCCACCACACCTGACTAACTTTTCTTTTTGTTTTATTGTTGTTTTGAGATGGAGTTTCGCTCTTGTTGCCCAGGCTGGAGTGCAATGGCACAATCTCGGCTTACTGCAGTTTCCACCTCCTGGGTTCAAGTGATTCTCCTGCTTCAGCCTCCTGAGTAGCTGGGATTACAAGTGCTCACTACCACACCTGGCAAAAATTTTTTTTTTTGTATTTTTAGTAGAGACAGGGTTTCACCATGTGGGCCAGGCTTGTCTGGAATTCCTGACCTCAGGTGATCCACCCGCCTCCACCTCCCAAAGTGCTGGGGTGACAGGCGCGAGCCCCTGCGCCCAGCCAGTTTGTTTGTTTGTTTTGAGATGGAGTTTTGCTCTTGTTGCCCAGGCTGGAGTGCAATGGCGTGATCTTGGCTCACCGCAACCTCTGCCTCCTGGGTTCAAGCGATTCTCCTGCCTCAGCCTCCCTAGTAGCTGGGATTAGATACAGACGCCACCACAACCGGCTAATTTTGTATTTTTAGTAGAGACGGGGTTTCTCCATGTTGGTCAGGCTGGTCTTGAACTCCCATCCTCAGGTGATCCGCCTGCCTCGGCCTCCCAAAGTGCTGGGAATACAGGCATGAGCCACTGCGCCTGGCCCAGTTTTTGTATTTTTAGTAGATACAGGGTTTCACAATGTTGGCCAGGCTGGTCTTGAACTCCTGGCCTCAAGTGATCCGCCCACCTTGGCCTCCCAAAGTGCTGGGATTATGGGATTACAGGTGTGAGCCACCATGCCCAGCCTGCAAGTTTTCTTAACCCATGTTTAATTAGATGTGGGTTTTCAAATTGTTTGAATTGTGCCCTGAAAGTTTTGCTAGAAGTAGCGGTTCCCTTTTTTGCACTCATTTCATTGTTTTGCAGCAGATGTGAACAGGTTTAGGAACAAGTAGAATTGATTGGGTGTCTCTCCATACAGCCAGCTTGGAGCAAAAGTGGGTAGGGCTTACAACCCTTCTTCCACAGAGCAGGTTCGTACCTATTGCATTGAGAGCAGTTAATAGCAGTTAATCTGGCAAGTTGGATAGGTACACAGTGAGAGATTATTGAATTCATACAGCAATGGTGAGGGATGTGGTGTGTTAGAAGCTTTGTTTGTTTGTTTATTTTTGGAGACCGGGTCTCACTCTGTTGTCCAGGCTGGGGTACAGTGACACAGTCGTAGCCCCCTGTAGCCTCGAACTTCCTGGCCTAGTTTAATCGGACTTTAAAATATGTGTCCTTACTGTTTCTCATCATGATTTGTAAAGCTTAATACCAGATGGGTTTTTTTGTTTTTGTGTGTGTTTTGTTTTGTTTTTTTGAGACGGAGTTTCACTCCTGTTACCTAGGCTGGAGTGCAATGGTGCGATCTTGGCTCACCGCAACCCTCGCCTCCCAGGTTAAAGTGATTCTCCTACGTCAGCCTCCCAAGTAGCTGGCATTATAGGCATGTGCCACCACACACAGCTAATTTTGTATTTTTAGTAGAGACGGTGTTTTTCCATGTTGGTCAGGCTAGTCTCGAACCCCTGACCTCAGGTGATCCACCCGTCTCTGCCTCCCAAAGTGCTGGGATTACAGGTGTGAGCCACTGCTTCTGGCCCTTGTTTTTTTTTTTTTTTTTTTGAGATGGAGTTTTGCTCTGTTGCCCAGGTTGGAGTGCAGTGGCGCTGTCTTGGCTCACTGCAGCCTCTGCCTTCCAGGTTTAAACAGTTCTCTTGCCGCAGCCTCTCGAGTAGCTGGGACTATAGGCGTGTGCCACCATACCCAGCTAATTTTTGTATTTTTAGTAGGTGGGGTTTCACTATGTTGGTCAGGCTGGTCTCAAACTCCTGACCTCAGGTGATCCACCTGCCTTGGCCTCCCAAAGTGCTGGGATTACAGGCATGAGCCTTCAAACCTGGCCAATACCAGTTCTTTTCAAGCTTCATTTCTGTGCAAGAATGTATCTATTAATTTCTCCCATGTAATTGACATAATCTTAATATTTGTCTTTCATACAATTCCTTCATTCTGAAGTTTCCTCTATTAATACTCAGATTTCATAGTTAATCAGGCATGTCTGAAAGATTGAAAGTAGCAAAGACAAATCTTTGAGGGAAAACTACTATTTTTGTGTTGAGTACCCTTATCCCTTCAGAAAATCGTTAACTCGAGATTATTGGCGGGCAGGCTTGGAACTGAATGCCTCACTTCACTCTCTCTATATTTTCTCAGTCCCCATTTCACTGGGTCAGCCTTCCCCAAGTGCATATTCTTGCCACAATACAGGAAGCATCTAAACTCCCATATTTGCCTGCCTTGAATATAGTTGAAAATGACGTTTTGTTTTGTTCTTTTGAGACGGAGTCTCGCTCTGTCGCCCAGGCTGGAGTGCAGTGGCACTATCTCGGCTCACTGCAAGCTCCGCCTCCTGGGTTCATGCCATTCTCCTGCCTCAGCCTCCCCAGTAGCTGGGACTACAGGCGCCCACCACCAGGCCTGGCTAATTTTTTGTATTTTTTAGTAGAGATGGGGGTTTCACCATGTTAGCCAGGATGGTCTCGATCTCTTGACCTCATGATGTGCCTGCCTCGGCCTCCCAAAGTGCTGAGATTACAAGCGTGAGCCACCGCACCCGGCCTGATTTTTTGGGTTTTTTTTTGGAGACGGAATCTTCACTCTGTTCCCGAGTCGCCAAGGCTGGAGTACAGTAGCGGATCTCAGCTCACTGCAAACTCCACCTCCCGGGTTCATGCCATTCCCCCAGCCTCAGCCTTCCAAAGTGCTGGGATTACAGGCATGAGCCTCCGCTCCCAGCTGAAAATGACCATTGTTTTAAATGGGAGTGGCGATTAAGAGAAAACTCTTTAAGGATTATACAGATGGTGGTTATAATATTTCCCCCTCCCAGCTGGGCACCGTGGCTCATGCCTGTAATCCCAGCACTTTGGGAGGCCGAGGTGGGCGGATCATGAGGTCAGGAGATGGAGACCATCCTGGCTAACAAGATGAAACCCTGTCTCTACTAAAAACAAAAAAACTAGCCAGGCGTGGTGGTGGGCACCTGTAGTCCCAGCTACTCGGGAGGCTGCGGCAGGAGAATGGCATGAACCCGGGAGGCAGAGCTTGCAGTGACCGGAGATCACGCCACTGCATTCCAGCCTAGGCAACAGAGCAACACTCTGTCTCAAAAAAAAAAAAAAAAAAAAAAAAAATTTTTTTGTTTTACCCTCCCATTTAATGTTTTATTCTGAACACAAAAGTATTTGCTGAGTTGAAATTCAAATTGTTGATGTGTAGAAAGTAACTACTGTTTTATGGATGTCTGTGTCACATGGTGTGAATGTCTCTTTTATTCAGGGGATTTGAAATAACAAGCCTCTTTCTAAAAAAGCTTTTTTTTTTTTCTCTTCTCTCTCTTTCAGCTATTCCTCTACACAGCCGACTAGTTATGATCAGAGCAGTTACTCTCAGCAGAACACCTATGGGCAACCGAGCAGCTATGGACAGCAGAGTAGCTATGGTCAACAAAGCAGCTATGGGCAGCAGCCTCCCACTAGTTACCCACCCCAAACTGGATCCTACAGCCAAGCTCCAAGTCAATATAGCCAACAGAGCAGCAGCTACGGGCAGCAGAGTGAGTTGCTAAGAGAGAAAACCAAATAAGAATGAATGTGTTTAGAGTTTTTTTGTGGGGTTGATTTTTTTTGTTGGTTTGTTTTTCTTTTGAGATGGAGTTTCACTCTTGGGGCTGAGGCTGGAGTACAGTGGTGCCATCTCAGCTCACTGCAGCCTCCGCCTCCTGGTTCAAGCAATTCTCCTGCCCCAGCCTCCCGAGTAGCTGAGATGATAGGCGCCTGCCACTATGCCCAGCTATTTTTTGTATTTTTCGTAGAGACGGGGTTTCACCATGTTGGTCAGGCTGGTCTCGAACTCCTGACCTCAGGTGATCCTCCCGCCTCAGCCACCCAGAGTGTTGGGATTACAGTCATGAGCCACTGCGCCCAGCCACGTTTGGAGTTTTTGAACAGGGGGAATACTCTTTGCCATTGTTTGCTTTTGGAATCCAGGACACATCTTTAGGGCATGGCATTCCAGCTAACATCTTGGATGCCCCAGTGAAGATTTCAGTGCTTTTTTCCAATTTGTTTTTAGTATGCCTTGGCAAAAAAGAAAAGAGATACTAATTGATCAGAAAAAATGTTTTAGACTGCTAGCCCTGCTGTCTTTGGGGAAGTTGTATGCAGTGAGTAAATTCAACATCGTTTTTGGCCTCCCTATCAGTCATTAATGTAAAGTGGGGAGGCAGCTATTGCAGGCCACTATGATTTTGATAGTCAAGTAAAAGCTATGTTTTTTTGTTGCTGTTTGTTTATATCCATTAAGGGGAAAAATGGCCAGGCATGGTGGCTCACACCTGTAATCCCAGCACTTTGGGGGAGGCCAAGGCAGGAGGATCACTTGAGACCAGGAGTTTGAGACCACCCTGGGCAACATAGTGAGACCCTGTCTTTTTAAAGATAAATAAAGATTCTTTAAGAAAATAGAAAAGGAAAGGGGGAAAAATAATCCTCCTCACAGAATATTTGCAGTTCTTCTGTATGGAGAGAGGTAACCAAAACACATAATTATCTTCAGAATTTAGGATCATTGCTCTTTTTAAATTACATTCTATCCACGGGGATTTCTCAACAACTCAAAGGAGTAGTGTTGATTTATGGAGCTCAGCCCCTAGCAGTGTGCTAAAGCCCTAAGAAACCTGGCTCTGTTTTCATTTCTTGAGTTTAGCTCAAAAGAAGCTGCTTTTGGAGACATCTTAGGATATAGAACCCTATAAACTATATGTTAGCCAGAGGGCTTTTTTTGTTGTTGTTATTTAGAAGAGGTTTATTATAGGCTAACTATATAAGGTTATTTCAGCTGTGATGATCCAGCAGTTTTGTTGAACTTAAAAGAGCCTACCTATTAAGGATGCTTTATCGTGATGTAAAGAAGATGGTGCCTTGGTTAGTGCCTTGGAATTGAGGATTTTGTGATTCCAGGAGAAAGTACATCAGGCAGTGGTGTAAATGCTGGTCCATGGCTTACAGATGTGACTCTTTCCTCAGGTTCATTCCGACAGGACCACCCCAGTAGCATGGGTGTTTATGGGCAGGAGTCTGGAGGATTTTCCGGACCAGGAGAGAACCGGAGCATGAGTGGCCCTGATAACCGGGGCAGGGGAAGAGGGGGATTTGATCGTGGAGGCATGAGCAGAGGTGGGCGGGGAGGAGGACGCGGTGGAATGGGGTAAGAGCAAACCTTTTCTCCTTTTACCTAATTTTGTTTCATCCATAGGATTTTCAGTGGAAAGAAGGGACTGAAAGACATAAGAAATTAATTTCTGCATTTCCATGGACAATCTGTTGAGCTCAAGCCATCTTCTAAAACATGGAAATGTCATCTTTGTGGCATATATTAAGTGGCAGTTTATTTTCTTTCCCTGCCAGTATACTTCGTTGGGTCGGGGAGAACAAAGAATGGTTTTGAAACCAGAGCTTTCAGTTCCCTTCATGGTTTCCAGAGGTGAGAAGCCTCTGTGGGTAGTAGATTTGGGATGGAACACACACAACCCTTCTAATGACCCTAAGTTGTTAACTAACTGCCTTTGAATGGTTGTCTTGAAATACCTGGTGTATATACTGCAGAAAAGGAATGCAGCTGTTTTCCACAGTGTTTGTCCCCAACTTCTGTTTGTACTCAGAATCGTTGAACATATGAAGATTTTGGTCCCATAATCCTTAAACTATAGCCTGAGGTGCACCTGATTACATAGAGTTTGGATGGAGCAAAGAAAAATCCAATAGCATTTTGCAGAGTAATGTATATAATTATGGGCTCACTTCCTACTGGAGATGTTGAAAGTCTAAATCGGTTTGACCATTTTGATTGATGGCACAATCTGGTTTAGAAAACTTTGTTTAGATCAATGACATAACCCTGCTGCCTCTGCCTGCCCTTCCCCTCCCTTCTCCCATCCCCTTTTCCCTATCTGGTGTCTGTACTTTGATGAAGGTGAGCTATAATATTGGTGGTTAACATAATCCAGAAGGCTTAGTTCTGTGTGTGTTCTGTCCCTATATAAACTGGTAAAGAAAAAAAAAAGTTATGCAGAATGTTAGATATTTACATTTGATACGGTGTGCCACTATTCAAGGAAAAATTAAATAGCATTTTTTAAAAAACAGAATGAACTTCAAAATTAAAGTTGATTTTTAACTTCCATATTAGCAAATACTCTTCACTACTGAAAGACAGTACTATTTTGCATATTCTGCATAACTTTAAGAAAGTCTTTAGTGAAATCTTTATTGGAAGAAAGTCATTTGACAACAGGCAAAAATTTAATGATTCGGTATGAAGTAAAATCAATCTTCTGATTTGGAAAATACTCTATTATAAAGGTTTCACTTCTTTTTGGATGTTTTAAAATAGACATAGACACTTGAAAGTACTATCATCACGTCTCAAATCACCTAGAATTCCTAGTATTTTTAAATTGCAAATACAATTTCAAGTTTATTTAAATACTCCAGAAGTTATAATCCTACTAATTGTGCTAGACTTTGCTAGTAGAGGGGGCCCCTCTTTCTGGATGAGAAGTCTCTCTTGCAGCCATAGAAGAGACCATGGCTTTCCCCATAGGTTTTTCAACAGACTGTGAAGCAGTCTGTCGGATCCTGTGGGGATAGACGGGCATTTCCCTCGTTGCCCCCCTTTTTATTGTGGTGTGGTGATGGTTTTCAGTGTCTTGTACAGGTAAGGCACTCAATGTTGTTAACATGCCCTTTTTCATTGCCTCAGTATTTTGATATTTTCATTGGCTGTTAAACGTGGAAACTTTTTAACATGCTTTGTCGCATTTATATGCTACAGGTTACAAAGTGAGAGCCTTGTATACACTTCAATACTTAAAAAGTACCCGTACTCAGTACTCAGCCGGCAGCATAATGAAAAGTGGGACTAGACACGGTGTCCATATGGAGAGGAAAAATATACATAGAATATTTTTAACAAAATGTATTCATTGTATAAATGGAATCCTTCTGTAACTTTGGTAACTGCATACTTGTTGTTTGGTAATGAACCAGAGGAGGTATAATACTCTAGAATTGTGTAACATTAAAGTGTAAACTTTTGTGTTTAAAGAGAGAGAACATTTTATGGTGTGTACTTTTAAAAAGGAAACAAAGCTGCATGCAACAGCTTGAAATTGTATATTCAGGTATTAAAGGTGCAATACTGGTTAGAAAAAACTCAGGGCCTCCCACTGGGGAGCTGCCTTTATTTAATTTTAAAGAAAACAAAATCTAACCCAAAAAGTCCAATTCATATTTCCCTCTCCCCTCTTTAAGTAATTTTACATGGCCATAGTCATTATTCTAACTGATATGTCTATAAAGTTGCACCCCCAGTCCGTTGAGCCTTGGTATTTGTTGTAAATTCTCCTTTCACAGCGATTGTTAAATCTATTCGTGCCCTGAGATGTATGGCTTTATGCTGAAGATTGGCTGGATGCGTCCTCTGATGTGTGTTGTAGGAATTTAATGTGGTTGTCTCCTGCTTTTATTATACTGTGACTTGTTAGGAAACCCTGGGCCTCATTTGGCTCTCCCTTGGGAGAGGTTGAGGGTGCACCTTTATGAACATGGAAAGGTTTATCACAGCAGTTAACCCCCACTTGCTCCTCCCCTCTATACCAAGCTCTTCTGGTTTTTCACCTGACGGGGTGGGTGTTTGGGATCTATTTTTTCTTGCTAATTTGCCAAGTATTGCACTATTAATACCAGCCCCCGAAATGAAAGGAACCAACCACACTGGTGTGTACAATCAGACAAGCAAGGTTGTATATTGAGGAAATTTGAGCAAGCTGCCCTGAAGAAAGGCATAGTGACAAGATGAGAGAGATGCATTGTTTGGAGATGTGTTTAGCCAGTGCCCTTCTTCCCCACGAGCCCCCCCAAGGCTCAGAGCGGTACTGGCTTTTAAAGGGAAAGGCCTTCATTTCTTCGTTTATCCCCCCAGCAGCGCTGGAGAGCGAGGTGGCTTCAATAAGCCTGGTGGTAAGTTTTTGAGTATTACCATAGATAGTGTTTAAAAAAAAATGCAGTCAGTTTTTAGAAAACTATAATTTTTTTATTAGTTTCATAAGTGGTTTAAAAATGATCTATACAAAAGAGACTAATGGGTACTGCCGGCATTGTCTTAGGGGTTAATAAGGTTAACCTATGGTTACAAAACAAAGGGTAACTTGAAGTATTGAGTAACTGCTTCTGTAATATGGGGGAGAATAAATTTTTAAATTTGGTTTATTTAGAGGAAAAATTTTGACTTAAATTTAACACTGATTTGGCACATAAGCATTGAGAGTGTATTTGGTTAATGGTTTAGAAGCAAACCAGCAAAGGAAAAAAGCAAACCCTAGCAAACCTTTCACAAATGTTAAAGAGACACTGCTCCATTTTAGCAGTGCGGGTCATTTTGAGTTTAATGAATCCCCATCAAATGGTGGTATAGTAGATAGCTATGTGTGTTTGTAAGGTTTGTAGCTTGCAAGACGTGCACTAATAATATTTTATATGATCTTTCCTGGTTGGCAGGACCCATGGATGAAGGACCAGATCTTGATCTAGGTAATTTTGAATTCTAGTTGTGCTTCATATCGTGCTTTGTAAATTAATGGTACAGAGGTAAATGCATGCGTAGAGTTCAGCAGCCTTATAGACCAGTGTGATATTCTTGCTGTCAAGGACAGTTTGGGAAATCCTATGTGAGCATCTACTCATAATTGCCTTAAGTGAAGTAAACCAAAAGTTTGATAGCATTCTTCTTAGTATGCTTGGTAGTTTTCTTAGATTTATGATGAATATCCTTGGGCAGTAGTGATCAGGTAGTTAAGAAACCCCTATAGATACATGATAATAATTCTCCTGTCTTGTTGTCTCTGAAAGGCCCACCTGTAGATCCAGATGAAGACTCTGACAACAGTGCAATTTATGTACAAGGATTAAATGACAGTGTGACTCTAGATGATCTGGCAGACTTCTTTAAGCAGTGTGGGGTTGTTAAGGTCAGTAAAAGCATAACCAGGTCATCTGGCAGAACTTTAAACCACAGAGCATTTTAAAGAGATTGAATTGATGTTGAGAGTTGTTTTCTAAGGTTGCCTTTGCCTGACTTCTTTCTAGGTATCTTATGGTTTGTTCCTTTTTAAAAAAGATTAGCCTTTTTTTTTTTTTTTTTTTGAGACGGAGTTTCCTTCTTGGTGCCCAGGCTGGAGTGCAATGGCGCAAGTCTTGGCTCACTGCAACCTCTGTTCAAGCGAATCTCCTGCCTCAGCCTCCCAAGTAGCTGGGATTACAGGTGTGCGCCACCAGCTAATTGTGTCTTTTTAGTAAAGATGGGGTTTCACCGTGTTGGGCAGGCGGGTCTCAAACTCCTGACCTCAGGTGATCTGCCCACCTTGGCGCCTCCCAAAGTGCTGGGATTACAGGTGTGATCCCCTACGCCCGGCCTTCCCTCCTCCACCCCTAGGGACAGAGTGTTGCTCAATCTCAGCCTCCCAGGTTCAAGTGATTCTCCCACCACAGCCTCTTGAGGTAGCTGGACTTATAGGCACATGCCACCACACCCAACTAATTTTTATATTTTTAGTGGAGATGGATTTTTGCCTGTTGGCCGGGCTGGTCTCTAACTCCTGGCCACCTCAAGTGGCCACCTACCTCAGCCTCCCAAATTGCTGGGATTACAAGCATGAGCCACTACACCCAACCTCAAATTATTGTGTCTTTATGCTAATTCTTCATAGCTAGTAACGCAGATTTTTTCTTCAGGGATTTTGACTGTTTTTCAGTTCTTGCTCTTCTGTATTAGAGTTAGTTTATGAACCCCATAAACCTCAAAACCTTAAAACCCCAATTGAATATTTACTAAATCTATGAAGTAATTTCAGGAGAATTTACATTTTTATGATACTGAGTGATCTTTTTTTCCCCATGAAGATTTTATTTCTCCATTTATTTGTATATTTATTTGCTTATTTATTTACTGAGACAGTCTTGCTGTGTCACCAGGCTGGAGTGCAGTGGCACGATCTCGGCTCACTGCAGCCTCTGGCTCCTGGGTTCAAGCGATTGTCCTGCCTCAGCCTCCTGAGTAGCTAGGATTACAGGTGCCCGCCACCACACCCAGCTAATTTTTGTATTTTTAGTAGAGATGGGGTTTGGTGAAACCATGTTGGTCAGGCTGGTCTTGAACTCCTGACCTCAGGTGATCTGCCGCCTCAACTCCCAAAGTTTTGTGATTGCAGACATGAGCCACTGTGCCTGGCCTGTCTCTATTTGTTATTTTATTTTACTTTGAGACAGAGTCTCACTCCTTCACCCGGCTGGATTGCAGTGGCGCAGTCTTGGTTTACTGTAACCTCTGCCTCCCGGGTCTCCTTGCCTCAGCCTCCCGAGTAGCTGGAATTACAGGCGCCTGCCAGCACCCCTGGCTAATTTTTGTAAGTAGAGATGGGATTTCACCAGGTTGGTCAGGCTGGTCTTGAACTTCTGACCTCACGTGATCCACCCACCTAGGCCTCCCAAAGTGCTGTGATTACAGGTGTGAGCCACCACACCCAGCCTATTTAGATCTTCAGTAAAGACTATCGATTTCCTTAAAGGTCTTGCAAATTTTACTAGTTTTACTTCTAGGTTTCGTTTATTTTCAAGTTGCTGTGGTTAAGGGTCTTCGTTAAATGACACTTTTCTGGTTATTACTGGTGTATAGAAATACAGTTGATTTGGCCGGGCGCGGTAGCTCACGCCTGTAATCCTAGCACTTTGGGAGGCCGAGGCGGGTGGATCACGAGGTCAGGAGATCGAGACCATCCTGGCTAACACGATGAAACCCCGTCTCTACTATAAATACAAAAAATTAGCCAGGCTTGGTGGCGGGCACCTGTAGTCCCAGCTACTCGGAGGCTGAGGCGGGAGAATGGCATGAACCTGGGAGGCGGAGCTTGCAGTGAGCTGAGATGGCGCCACTGCATTCCAGCCTGGGTGACTGAGTGAGACTCCGCCTCAAAAAAAAAAAAAAAATACAGTTGATTTTGGGCGGGCGTGGTGGCTCATGCCTGTAATCCCGGCACTATGGGAGGCCGAGGTGGGTGGATCACGAAGTCAAGAGATCGAGACCATCCTGGCCAACGTGGTGAAACCCCGTATCTACTAAAAATACAGAAATTAGCCGGGTGTGGTGACACGCGCCTGTAGTTGAGCTACTTGGGAGTCTGAGGCAGGAGAATCAGTTGATCCCAGGATGCAGAGGTTGCAGTGAGCTGAGATGGCGCCACTGCACTCCAGCCTGGCGACAGAGCAAGACTCCATCTCAAAAAAAAAAAGGAAATACAGTTGATTTTGGTAAATCTTATATAAGGTGATTTCTCCCTGCTTGTAGGTGTGTGTGTGCACAGATATCACACACACCTCAAAAGTAAAATGCTTTTAGTGTCTACTGTCACATTCTACCCTGTGCAAGACTCCTTGTTTGCTTTTTTGTTTTGAGATGGAGTCTTGCTCTGTTGCCCAGACTGGAGTGCAGTGGCACAATTTCAGCTCACTGCAACCTCCGCCTCCTGGGTTCAAGCCTCAAGCCTCTTGAGTAGCTGGGAGTACAGGCTTGAGCATATTAAAAAGACTGCTTTTTAATATGTATATAACATGTAGTTTATTGAGGAATGTGGAGTTTATCCTGGTTAAGAAAGTAGTATTTACCATCAAAATTTTGGAAATAAAGATGTTAAAATAGATTTCCAAGCTGGATACAGTGGCTCACATGTGTAATCCCAGCACTTTGGGAGGCCAAGGCAGGAGGATCCCAAGGATTGCTTGAGCCCAGGAGTTTGAGACCAGCCTGGACAACAGAGTGAGACTCTGTCTCACAAAAAAGAAAAAAATGCATTTCCACATTATTCATACCACAGTTTTGCCATATTTTCTTTTCAGTTTTTAGGTATCACGTTCCTTTTTTTAAGTCAGAGGTATCAATATATATATCCTGTTGTAATCTTTTTTAAGTCCTATAAATAGATTGCTCTTGTGTTACTGGATATATGTAAACAATTACAGACTAAACTGATCGTGTGCATATATAATGCAAAAAAGTACACGTGAAGATATTCTTATACAAGGTAGCTCCTGAATTCAAGTCAACCACATCTGATATTCAGCTGAAAGACTAGTCATCTGTTCTAACTGGAGGAAGTAGTGGCTGTGTTAGACTAACCAAGAATCCCTGTAGTTCACTCACAGCCTGTACACTGTCCTTCACGGTTTAAGGATAATTTTCTTTATGCCAGTCATGTCTTATGTGGTGGTATCAAAGTCTGACTACCCCTACGAGGTGGCTGTGCTCAGTGGATACCTGTCTGGGCATAGAAAATGCCAGGGCAGGCAAACCAGCATCAGAAGATGGCTAAGGCAGGAGTGGGGCCTATCCTGTTCACTTCCACACTTTGGTCTACTTTGGTTTTTATGATAAAGCAGGGATAGAGGAGAAAATAACTTAGAATTCTGAAAAACTTAAAAGCGGAGAAACGGTGACATTTAGTGACTTACTACATGTGAGAAATTGGTACTTTTCCTGGATTTTGCCTGGACTTTTTTCTCCCAAATTAGTATATTCTAGTCATGCCTAACTATGCTATTCTTTGTCTAGATGAACAAGAGAACTGGGCAACCCATGATCCACATCTACCTGGACAAGGAAACAGGAAAGCCCAAAGGCGATGCCACAGTGTCCTATGAAGACCCACCCACTGCCAAGGCTGCCGTGGAATGGTTTGATGGTGAGATGTACTCACTGGCATTCTTAATCTCCCTGGCTATAGAATATGGCATGAGGGAGAAACTTGTGAACCATAGGAGCAAGAAGACCTTCCATCTCTTCCTGGGGGAGGTAGATGGCCGGTCTCCCTGCAGTAGTAGTAGCACCCAGCCATTGACCCTGGATTTGGAGATCCCTTTATTTTGAGGCATTAGTATTACAAATCAACCTTGCTTAAAGTGGCAAACACTTCCTAAGCACAGATTATCAGAAGGTACAGAAAACCCTTCAAAAGAACATCTTAGCCAGTGTACATTTGCATATAGATAAATATATATATTTAAATGAGGCCTTGACATTAATGGTGGGATTTCACTTCAGACAAAACCAACTTGAAAGCATTGAATGACTTGGCCATGTCCAGTGGCTTGCACCTGTAATCCCAGCACTTTGGGAGGCCAACATCGGTGCATTGCTTGAATCCAGGGGCTTGAGACCAGCCTGGGGAACATGGCAAAACCCTGTCTCTACAAAAAAAATACAAAAATTAGCCAGGTGTTGTGGCACACTCCTATACCTATAGTACCAGCCACTCAGGAGGCTGAGGTGGGAGGATCACTTGAGCCCGGAGAGTTTGAAGCTCCAGTGAGCTGAGATTGCACCACTGCACTCCAACCTGGGCAACGGAGCAAGACTCTGTCTCAAAGAAAGTGTCAAATAACAAGTCCTGGTTCTGTTTTCTTGGTCATGCAGTCAGCTTCCCACCAGCTTATTTTCCTCCTTATGGTAGACAGTGTTTTTTGCTTGTGTTGTTTTTTTTGAGATGGTCTCACTTTGTCACCCAGGCTGGAGTGCAGTGACACAAGCCATCTCAGCTTACTGCAACCTCCACCTCCCAGGTTCAAGCCAATCTTGTGCGTCAGCCACTCGAGTAGCTGCTGGACTACAGGCGCATGTCACCACGCTGAGCCTAACTTTTGTATTTTTTAGTAGAGATGGGGTTTCACCATGTTGGTCAGGCTGTAGGAAGGTTTTTAAGTGTATTTAAGTATGGCCTTTTTCTGGCCAGGCACAGTGGCTCTTGCCTATAATCCTACCACTTCAGGAGGCCAAGGCAGGAGGATTGTTTGAACCAAGGAGTTCACTAGCAGCCTGGGCAACCTAGTGAGACACTGCCTCTACAAACAATTTTGTAAAATTAGTCGGGCATGGTGATGCGTGCCTGTAGTCCCAGCTACTTGGGAGGATTGCTTGAGCAAGTGAGATTGAAACTGCAGTGAGCTGTGCCACTGCACTCCAGCCCGGGCAACAGAGTGAGACTCCCATCTCAAAAAAAGCCTTTTTCTGGCCTTGTCATTAAAGATCTTAGAGAAGATTACAGGCAGACCTAATGCATCTGGGAGTGGTCATTTGATGATGATGTGGAGTTGGTGAACAGGGAGTACAGGGGAGTAATTGATGTTCTGTTGTCTTGTTCCAGGGAAAGATTTTCAAGGGAGCAAACTTAAAGTCTCCCTTGCTCGGAAGAAGCCTCCAATGAACAGTATGCGGGGTGGTCTGCCACCCCGTGAGGGCAGAGGCATGCCACCACCACTCCGTGGAGGTACTTTTTCTGAGCTCCTATGTTGCATTAAAAGGTTTTCAGTACACTTCATACCCTTGAGAAACTTGATTATTAGAGTGAAGAAATATAAAATTGTGTGTAGAGTCAATACTAGACTATCGAGAGCTAACAATGAATGTTTGTTGGGAATAAAAGGAAGAGAAGAACATGGGAGGCTGGAAGCCACTCTGCCTGTCAACTCCAGACTGCCATTTATTCAGCTTTGGTTGTGTCTGTATAGACATGCCTATTCCTTACAGAATTGTGGGAGTTCAGCCAGGTGCAGTGGCTCACGCCTGTAATCCCAGCACTTTGGGAGGCTGAGGTGGGCGGATCACCTGAGGTCAGGAGTTTAAGACCAGCCTGGCCAACGTGGTGAAACTCCCTCTCTACTAAAAATACAAAAATTAGCCGGGTATGGTGGTGCATGCCTGTAATCCCAGCTACTCGGGAGGCTGAGGCAGGAGAATTGTTTGAATCTGGGGGGGTGGAGGTTGCAGTGAGCAAAGATCGTGCCACTGCACTCCAGCCTGGGCAACAGTGTGAGACTCCGTCTCCAAAAAAAAAAAAAAAAAATTGTGGGAGCTCTGTTTCTGTAGAGCACGTGGAACACGCTCCTCACAGGGAAGGGGGCTGATGGCCTGAGCCACACGGAAACACGGGACAGGTGATGGGGAAATGACAGCAGTAGTATCTGTGGGTTTACTTAGTGATTTTTATTTCCTATAGCAAATTTGGTGCTACAGAGAAATGATTTGCTGTTTCTTGTTGTTCTTGTTGTAGGTCCAGGAGGCCCAGGAGGTCCTGGGGGACCCATGGGTCGCATGGGAGGCCGTGGAGGAGATAGAGGAGGCTTCCCTCCAAGAGGACCCCGGGGTTCCCGAGGGAACCCCTCTGGAGGAGGAAACGTCCAGCACCGAGCTGGAGACTGGCAGTGTCCCAATCCGTATGTACTTGTCTTGGCAAATTGATACCCTACGAGTGAAGCCACCCTTCCCTCACCCCATCCCCACTCTAGAGTGGATTGCTCTGTCTAGAGGAACAGAATGATGACCCTGATGGCTGGTTAGGGACACTAGTCAGCCATTCACTGGACGCTTCAGAGCCTTCTGAAGATTGATTTGACCTGTCCTGTGGGTGCAATGCTGCCTGAGGCTGTGCCCTAAAGCATGGGTGTACATAGATCCTCTTGATAGTGAGTGTGTACCTGTTCACACACCACCTTTCCTTGTTTATCTTCCTTAGTTCAATTGGTGATTTCTGCTGTGATGTAATTGTATGCAGGGGTTGTGGAAACCAGAACTTCGCCTGGAGAACAGAGTGCAACCAGTGTAAGGCCCCAAAGCCTGAAGGCTTCCTCCCGCCACCCTTTCCGCCCCCGGGTAGGTGCAGGTTTCATGAGTGTCCCCTCAGCTTCCTGGTGCTAAACCTCTTTTCTTATTTGTGGGCTTGGTAAACTGCAGTTGCCCTCTGCTTAACAACTTTGAGTTGTCGTGTCCTCATTTCTAAATTGTCAGCCCGATGCCGAGATTGAGTGAAGTGTCTGGTTTGTTCTGCTGTGAGAGAAGGAAGCAGAGCAGCTTCCACAGTGTCCACAGGGCCTCTGCAGCCACCCACTGACTGCTTTCGCCCTGCTATTCTCACCTTAGGTGGTGATCGTGGCAGAGGTGGCCCTGGTGGCATGCGGGGAGGAAGAGGTGGCCTCATGGATCGTGGTGGTCCCGGTGGAATGTTCAGAGGTGGCCGTGGTGGAGACAGAGGTGGCTTCCGTGGTGGCCGGGGCATGGACCGAGGTGGCTTTGGTGGAGGAAGACGAGGTGGCCCTGGGGGGCCCCCTGGACCTTTGATGGAACAGATGGGAGGAAGAAGAGGAGGACGTGGAGGACCTGGAAAAATGGATAAGTAAGTGCTGGTGAAAAGCAGCTGTGGGCCGCCAGGCACAGTAAGAGGACAGCCCTTCCCAGCTTGGTTGGCGCAAGTCCTCATGTCTCTAGGAAGCTTGTGATAGTGGTTGGGAGGAGCCAGGAAGGGGCACCTGGGGGCTCTGGAAGGGCTTCCTCACCCCTTCCCATTCTAACCGATTGGGAGGAGCCAGGAAGGGGCACCTGGGGGCTCTGGAAGGGCTTCCTCACCCCTTCCCATTCTAACCGAAGGGCCCTCTTTACCTTGCAGAGGCGAGCACCGTCAGGAGCGCAGAGATCGGCCCTACTAGATGCAGAGACCCCGCAGAGCTGCATTGACTACCAGATTTATTTTTTAAACCAGAAAATGTTTTAAATTTATAATTCCATATTTATAATGTTGGCCACAACATTATGATTATTCCTTGTCTGTACTTTAGTATTTTTCACCATTTGTGAAGAAACATTAAAACAAGTTAAATGGTAGTGTGCGGAGTTTTTTTTTCTTCCTTCTTTTAAAAATGGTTGTTTAAGACTTTAACAATGGGAACCCCTTGTGAGCATGCTCAGTATCATTGTGGAGAACCAAGAGGGCCTCTTAACTGTAACAATGTTCATGGTTGTGATGTTTTTTTTTTTTTTTTAAATAAAATTCCAAATGTTTATAAAGAGTCATCCTTCTCGGCCTCTGTTCCACAGTCACTGTGTGTCTGCTGGGAGCATGCTCCCACCCCACCCAGGAGAGGGGTGCCTTCCAGGTAAACGGTTGGTTCAGGGTTTGTGTGAGGGGAAATAAGCGGTTGTGACATGGAAACAGACTCTGGCCCTGATGCAGCCTCTGAGACCCACTAGTGTCCAAAGGTTCAAGGGGAGATCCAGGTAAGGGAGGCACAGGAAGAACTGGAAATAACTTTGCCTTCCATGGGATCACGGATCAGGCACTAGGAGCATCTAAGGGGCTGCTCCCTCAGGTGAGGGACGATCCCTCTCAGGCGGACTGGGTCGGGTCCTCTCATCCCCAGCACTTCTGGGCATGCATTGTGTGCACCTCTGCTGTTTCTTTCCCTGGTCATTTCCTGTTCTAATATGTGTTTGACTCCCTGCGTTTGGAAAACCCTCCCTTAACCAGCCATCATCCCCTTCCCTCCATCAAACCATCTTCCTGGCCCTTTCTACAGGAAGCACATGGAAAGAGCTTTGTCCACCCCTCCCTCTCTGGAACCCACTTCATTCTTCACCTGCACTAAAACAAGCAGCTCTCAGTCACCAACCACCTCTAATGTTGCCCAATCAATGGTCTTTCCTTCTCTGTTCTCCCATCTCCTTCATTGCTTCCTTTTTCTCCTATCCCTAAATGCAGGAAGGCCCCAAAGCTAGCATTGCGCTCCCCTGAGCCGCCACACTGCCTGGCTGTCCTTTCCATACTGTGGCTTTAGCCCTTTCTCCCTAGGGCCAACTCGGCTTGGGTGCATGATGGGTGTAGAGCAGGGCTTGCTCTTGTCCCGTCCTGCCTACACCCCAGTTCAGTAAACACACACCTGCCCCAAACCTTGGAGTCATCCATGACCCATTCTCAAACCCCAGCCCCCAACCTAGCTCTCTTGCAAATCCAGGACGGTGCAAATCCACCCACAGCCCCCACCTCCATAACGCCCCCTCACTGGGTTCCCTGCTTCTCCCCTCAGTATCTCCAGCCCTTCCTCAGAAGCCAGACCAAGGTTTGTGGGGTTTTTTGTTGTTTGAGATGGTCTTGCTCTCACCAAGACTGGAGTACAGTGGTGCAATCACAGCTTCACCTCCTGAGCTGAGTAGCTGGGACTACAGGTGTAGCACCCAGCTAATTTTTTTGATGTTTTTGTAGAGACCAGGTCTCACTGTTGCCCAGGCTGGTCTCAACTTGGGCTCAAGTGATCATCCCACCTTGACCTCTCAAAGTGCTAGGATTACAGGCGTAAGCCACCACACTTGGCCCAAACCAACTTGACACGGGAGGTCATCTCCAGTCTCAAAACCATTTGGTGGCTCCAAGCACGCTTGCCATGCCCCAAAAGACCTCTGGGACCCCAGCTGCCCTGCTCTACCTTGCACGCCAGTCCAGCACTGTTCCTCAAGGGGCCGAGGACGCTCTCACCGCAGCCTTGGTGTGTCAGAGCCAAGATGCACACATAACCTAGGAGGCCCAAACTCGACTAGGGCATCACTGGGTCCCTGCGTCGTGCCAGGCACTGCGCTAAGTACCTCTGTGCGTTTAATTCCTAATAACCTTCAAGGCAGGTAACATAGGACAGCCACACGTCAGCTGAGATGGGAAGAGAGAGGTCAAGGGAGGACTTGCCATTGAGAGGCCTGAATTGAGCTAAGGGTGGTCGCCCTCCAGGCCCCGCACGCTCACCCTCCCACCAACCCACTGTATACAGGCACCTGCTTCTGAAAAGGATGGGTGCTCTGACATGACCCGCATGCTGCCAGCACTAAGGGAAGACAAGCAGCCTGCTCTGGAAGCTGCTACTGCACAAGCATCTGTCAGACTCTGGCATTGCATAGGCTCCCCAGGAGTAGCCTTATGTCCCTGCCCGAGAGGGGTTTGTCACTGGCACTAAATAGCCCTGGTAGAGATGTTTACAGCAGGCAGGTCTATTTTTCTCAGCCCAAAGAAACTTCTGGATGCTCTGGGCACAGATTCCCTCAGGCAGCATGGATGCCAAGCCTGTCTCAAAGGGCGGCAGGAAGCTGGCTGGTGCCAGGGCATGAAGGAGGTGGGCAGGGCAGAGAGCAGAGCAGGTGGAGAAAAAGCCTAGTCTCTACCCACACCCTGGTCAAACTCCCCAAAAGCACCTAGACTAAAAGTTGCCAACACAAACTTGAGGTCCCACGAGGCCACATGGCACAGGCCTGGGCAAAGGTGGCGGGGTCCATGGGGAGACTGATCTATGCCCACAGGGAGTGGCTCCCCTGCTCGACGGGGAAGAGCACAGGGCTGCAGCAACAGCAGTACCAGCAGCTGTGGGGCTGAGGACTGTGCAGTCTGTGACAGGGACAACAGCTGGCCCTCGTGCTGTCCCCTCCTACCCCACTCCTGACAGATCTGCTGGGCGCAGGGCCGGCAGTGAGGACAGTGTGATGCAGGCAGGTTGGAAAGAGCCCACTTGGGTTTTCCAGTTTTGCGTCTCTCTTGTGAAGGGCACTGGAGGCAGCTCAGGGTCACCTGTCCCACAGCCAGAGCAGGAGCTGACCAGCAGGTGTCCTTGGAGCTGAGCCCACACCTGGACACAGCAGCCGGAAGCCTCCTGCGAGTCCCTCACTTAGCCTGGGCTGTGCTCAGAGCCTCAGTCCAGACTGGAGAATTTGGAGTTCTAATCCAACCAGTGCCAGAGCTTCCTGGAGCTGCCCGGTAGCAGGGATGTAGGCCACAATGAGAGTTTTGCCACAGCCATCATCTGACCTCTAGCTGCAACCAAGGCCAAGCAGGCTGCTGGCTGGCACCCAGCAGTGGGCGCAAGAAACTGGCTATGTGCCCTCTGGCCAAAGGCCAGAAGGAGCCCACATGGGAGCCACAGCATTCTGTGCATAGAGGTGGGTGGCCTCAAGGGTCCGTGCAGATGGGCTCAGGGTCTCTATAGCCCAAACCTCCTGTCCCTCCAGCAGTTTCTGTGGTTTCTCTTGGTCCTGCAAGGAACAAGGGAGACCATGTAGAGGCTGAGGCTTTCCCAGAGGTGGCCCCACAGGCCCTGGGCCACCACACGACAGAGGGGGTCAAAGCTACGGTCTACCATGCCCTGGGCCAGGGGTCTGACCCCCCAGTGAGGTCTGCATCATAGCAGCTACATGTCCTAGAATCAGGTGGGAGGCTGTGGTCTAGAACAGGCCTCTTATCACAAGCCACAGCTCATGGGAGAGAAGGAGGAAGGAATCTCGTGTGTGTGTGTGTGTGTGTGTGTGTGTGTGTGTGTGTGTGTGTGTGACGGAGTCTCGCTCTGTCGCCCAGACTGGAGTGCAGTGGCGCAATCTCTGATCTCTGCTCACTGCAAGCTCCGCCTCTCGGGCTCACGCCATTCTCCTGCCTCAGCCTCCAGAGTAGCTGGGACTACAGGCACCCGCCACCACACCCAGAGAATTTTTTGTATTTTTAGTGGAGACGGGGTTTCACCGTGTTAACCAGGATGGTCTCGATCTCCCGACCTCATGATCCACCCGCCTCGGCCTCCCAAAGTGCCGGGATTACAGGCGTGAGCTACTGCGCCCAGCAGAAGGAATTTCTTTATAATCCCTCCTCCCCAGAGAAGTGGATATGCTGAGCCAGGCCACACTGAGCTGGGTAGTGGCATTATTTTTCACAACCCCATGATGTAACTACTACTACTGTCCCATTCTGCAGATGGTGCCACTGAGGCTCAGGGAGCTTCACCATCCCACCCAATGACCAATGACAGAGCCTGGGTTCCGTCCAACTTCACCCATGTCCAAAACCCCAAAATGCAGCAAGGTAGGTATAAGCAGGAGTCAAATTCCTGCACAGCTGCTGGCTACACATATCCCATGCCTTCTCTGGGCCTCAGTTTCCCCAAATTGTAAAATGAGAACACCTAAGAGTATCATAGCTCATCGGGGTATTTTGAAGATGAAACTGTTAAATGTCCACACCCTGATTCACCCCCACCCCAAACCTGCAACCCTCCTCCACCTCCAGCAGCCCTTCCCTCCCCAGGTGTTAGCACCTCCGCCCTCCCAGTGCTCAGCCCTGGGAGTTGTCCTGGATTCCGTCCTCACACTCAACCAATCCACCAGCACATCAGCTCTCCCCTCACAATATGGCCAGAATCCAGCGCCCTCTCACCACCTGGTTTCCTCTGAGGCTCCAGCTCCTGCCCTGGCCCACCACAGCAGCCCCAGGGAATGTTTTTTTTTTTTTGAGACGGAGTCTCGCTCTGTCGCCCAGGCTGGAGTGCAGTGGCACGATCTGGGCTCACTGCAAGCTCCGCCTCCCAGGTTCACACCATTCTCCTTCTCCTGCCTCAGCCTGCCAAGTAGCTGGGACTACAGGTGCCCGCCACCACGCCTGGCTAATTTTTTTGTATTTTTTTAGTAGAGACAGGGTTTCACCATGTTAGCCAGGATGGTCTCGATTTCCCGATCTCGTGATCCGCACGCCTCGGCCTCTCAAAGTGCTGGGATTACAGGCGTGAGCCGCCGCGCCCGGCCGGGAATGTTAAGACCTAAGCCAACCACCCCTGCTCTAAATCACTGCATGGCTCCCATGTCCCTCAAAAGAGACACGGCCCCCAAGGCCCTGCTTAACCGGCCCTGGGGTCTCTCTAATCTCTCTACCTCCTCCCTCACCCACCTCCCTGCACTCCAGCCTCAGCCACCTCCCCAGTCTTCTTGAGCACGCCGGACACATGCCCACCATGGGGCCTTTGCACTGGCCGTTCCCTCTCCCTCTCCAGATATCCCCGACCTTCCTCCCTCACTTCCTTTCCTGATGAGGGATTTTAAATTGCAGCCCCCTCACACCCACACCCTCACCCGGCTCCATCCCTGTCTTCTCTGCACCTCATCCCTGTCTCTGCCCTGGGGCTGCCTCCCTGCCAGACTTGGACAACAGGCCCTGAGAGCTGGCTCTGCTTGGTTCCCTGCTGTTTTGCTGTTGATTTCCAGTGCCCAAAGAGACCCAGCACACAGTAGGTGCCACGCAGGTGTCAGCCTTGAGGATTGCTAGTTACTGCCTTCCTCACTGGAGGAAGTGCCATGGGGGGCGCTGAGGTGAGAAAACGCCTTTGAAAAGGTCACACAGGCCAGGCAAGTGGCTCACACCTGTAATCCCAGCCCTTTGGGAGGTGGAGGCGGGCAGATCACCTTAGGTCAGGAGTTCGAGACCAACCTGGCCAACATGGTGAACTTGTCTCTACTAAAAATACAAAAAGCCGGGCGTGGTGGCAGGTATCAGTAATCCCAGCTACTCGGGAGGCTGAGGCAGGAGAATCGCTTGAACCCCGGAGGTAGAGGTTGCAATGAGCCCAGATCCAGCCACTGTACTCCAGCCTGAGCGACAGAGCGAGACAAAAAAAAAAAAAAAAAAAAAAAGGAAGAAAATAAAAAAGAAAAGGTCACAAGGACTCTCTGGGATGCCTGTGAATGCCTGGCACCAAGAGGCCTGGCTCACAGGTGCTCAACCAATGCTGCTGATCCGTGGATGAGGGCGTCCCCATAATCGTCATGTTCAAATCCTGGCTCCACCAGCTGCTCTCCTGACTGTGCCCCAGTTGGGCATGAGTGTCCTTCACAGAGGTGACACACCAGTTCATTCAGGTCAAGGGCGCAGAGCAGTCCTGGCAGCACACAGTAGGAGATTTATTGGAGCTCTGAGCCTGGCTGTGGTTGGCGGCTTCCCTGCAGGCCTGCCCCACCCGTGTAGCATGGCTGCCGCCCAGACCCGCCCGACGTCCCGCCCAGCCCAGCCGGCAGCAGCAGGGGGCAGGATTTCCCGCTGATCCCGGCGGTCCGTCCTCTGCAGTTTAAAAAGAGCCCAGCGGGGCTTAACCCTCCCGCGTCCGGCCGGCCTCCGATGCCCCCCGTCCCCTGTTCTGTGCGGAACTCCGGCTTTGGCCATCTGCCTACTTCTCTGAGCTTCAGTATCCTCATCTGTAAAACCGGTTCCCCTCATTTCAGGGTCAAAAATGAGCATTCAGTGAGCACAAGGAGCCCTCAGTCGCCAGGGGCATCCTCCCCCTCCCCGCGGCGGTGCCGTTTATCTGGCCAGGGGAGGTCCACCCGGGAGGAGGTGACTTTGCAGCCTCCAGCCGCTATCGCTTCCTGCCTTCATCTTGGGAACAGGCCGTGCTGTGCGCCAGCCCGGGGAGCCCACCGTCTGGGGAGGGGGGCGATTAAAAGGTCCCAACCTCCTCCCCAGGAGACCAAAGAGGTTGGACGGGGCCCCGGGTACTAGGCTGGGTGGGGGTTGGGCGCCTGGGCCGGTCGCAGTTGTCTGGGGGCCCTGGGGCTCTCTGCGTCGAGAGCGCTCGAAGACCCGGGATTCCTGGCCCGATCGCGGGCGGGGGGAGACCCCAGCTCCACCCCAGCTCCCGCCGGCTCGGGGAAGGGGCGGCCCCTTTAAGAGCGCGCGGCCCCGCCCGCCCCCTCCGGGCAGGATCCGAATTCCAGGGAGGCGGGGCGGAGACGGCGGCGAGGAGGAGGCCGCGGCGCGGGACGCATAGAGCTGCGGCTCGGGCGGCGCCTCCCTGCGGCGGCCCGGCCCGGCTCCGGCCCCCGCTGGGGCAATGCTCCCCGGGGCCGCGGGATGAGCCAGGTGAGCGCGGAGACCCCCAGCACTCCCTGCCTGGTGCGCATGGACGGGGGTGGGGAGGCGGGGCGGGAAGCGGCGTCCTCGGCCTCTGTTCCCCGGGGCTGTGTGACCTTGGGCGGCCCCGCACCCTCTCTGGGCCCAGAGCCCCAGCACCGGCAGGGCCTGCGGAGGCCGCTCTGAGTCCTGGCCCCGCAGGCACCGGCCTGGAGCGCTGGGGAGGCTTCTTGGAGGAGGCGGGGCCTGGCCCTGGCCCCGGATCGCCGAGACCGGCCACGCTGCGCCGCCTGGACGCCGGGCTCCTCCACCCACAGCTCTGCGACCTTCACGAGCTCGACCCTTTCTGCGCCTCAGTTTCCTCATCTATAAAATGGAGATAATGCCTCCGCGCGCTGAGCCCGAGCGCGGTCGTGCTGTTACACTATTGCTGCTGCTATGTCGTTAATGACGGCACAGCCCTTATGGAAGGGGGGCCAAGGAAGGCACGGGGACCTTCCCGCAGGACATGGGGTGGGCACCAGCCCTAAGCCATGCACATAACCCACTCTGAGGTCAGGACCTGGGTTCCTTTCGTGTCCACTGGGGGCCTTAGCCGTTGTCTTCACTTCTCTAGGTCCCAGCCCTTCACAATGGGCGCGCCTCCCTGCCTGAGAGGGAGGCCCCAGCCAAGCCCCAGTTTCCACCGCAAAAAGCCACACAGCAAACACTTAATGGACCCTAAATTTATAAAAATTATCCCATAGAGTCCTATGAGGCAGGGAATGTTACTGTACCCATTTCGCAGATGAGGAAACTTGGGGCACCGACATTTCCCAGAGCCAACATGTAAACCAGGCATTTGGCCTGAGTGACAGACTGGTGCAGGTGGCCAGCAGCTTAATTTGTACTGAGCGCTTACTGGGTCCCCACAGCGATCCTGAACTGTGTTCCTGCCCACAGTGACTCGGCCGGTCCGGGCATGGCAGACCCAGTGGCGGGCATCGCGGGCTCGGCGGCCAAGAGCGTGCGGCCATTTCGCTCCAGTGAGGCCTACGTGGAGGCCATGAAGGAGGACCTGGCCGAGTGGCTCAATGCCTTGTACGGCCTGGGTCTCCCGGGTGGTGGCGATGGCTTCCTGACAGGGCTGGCCACGGGCACGACCCTGTGCCAACATGCCAACGCCGTGACCGAGGCTGCCCGTGCATTGGCAGCCGCCCGCCCGGCCCGAGGTGTGGCCTTCCAGGCGCACAGTGTAGTGCCTGGCTCCTTCATGGCGCGCGACAACGTGGCCACCTTCATCGGCTGGTGCCGCGTGGAGCTGGGTGTGCCGGAGGTGCTCATGTTTGAGACTGAGGACCTGGTGCTGCGCAAGAACGAGAAGAGCGTGGTGCTGTGCCTGCTGGAGGTGGCGCGGCGTGGGGCACGCCTGGGCCTGCTGGCCCCACGCCTCGTGCAGTTTGAGCAGGAGATTGAGCGGGAGCTGCGTGCTGCACCCCCAGCCCCCAACGCCCCTGCCGCTGGGGAGGACACCACTGAAACCGCCCCCGCACCAGGGACTCCTGCCCGCGGCCCCCGCATGACACCCAGCGACCTGCGCAACCTCGACGAGCTGGTGAGTCCCCCAGCACCAGGTGCCAGGGACCCGACAGCACAGCCAGTGCCTGCAATCTGTCCCTGAACCTCCCAGGGTCCACCCTGCTATCTGCAGAACAGTCTGCCCCACAAAAAGAGTGCACATGTTGAGCACCAAACCGAGGAATGTATACCTGACCCCAAGGAAATGGGTAGCCCACAGAGAGGGAGGTGCCGGGGAGATGACGCAGCCCAGCCGGGCCTGGGACAGGATGCGGGCTCCTGGCACGATCTTCCCTCACTTTGTGTGCTAACTGTGCCTCAACTGAGCTTGTGCATTCCTTCTTCTGGGGGGCCGCATGATCGGGGCGCCTCCTCTGTGCCCTCCCTGCAGTCAGTCTTAGGCAGATGTACCCACAACCTCATGGAGGCTCGAGGTTGAGCGGGTGCTGTGATGCTCGGTTGAGACGAGGCATGGAAAAACCTGGGCAAGGTGCCTGGCACACAGTAGGTGCCCCAGGGGGCTCTGCAGGTCTCCCCACTCCCCAGGCACCCCTGGGAAGCCTAGCTGGGTTGCTGCTGTTGCTGGGAGCAGGGATCCTGTTTGGAATTACAGGATTCGTTCTACTCTAAGCATAGGCGTTGCTGGGCCCTGCCCCCAAGTCTCTCCTCTCCCAGGATCTGGGTGGCCCCTGCCACCCCTGAGGGCTGGACCAAGAGTTTCCTTCTTATCAGAAGGTCAGGACTACAATGTGCCTGCCTGGGAGGCAGATAGCGGATGGCAGTGGGCAGAGCCTGGGGCCCCACCCCCTGTCCTGGACCAGGGTCACTCAAGGCCCCACCTGCTTATTTCCTCTGGCGGCACCACTGCCGCTGTGGGCGGGGAGGCGGGCAGGGCTGCCCACATAGCCAGCTTGGCAGCGCTCTGGCTCTGGTGGGGGGCTGTATGTGGTGCGTGCTCACCCGGCCAGTGGTCTGTGTGTGCATGTGTCCGATGTGTCTGTGGTACGCCTCCACATCAGTGCCCACCCAGGGGCATGGGGCCCCCTGCACCTGTGTCCTGTAGCCTGCCTGGCCTTCCTGTGGGCCCCAGCCTTCTTGTCTGAGAAGTGGGTGAAGCGGGAGTGAGGACGGGCTCTGGGCCTTCCCCAGGTCTAGGGGCTGTGGGATGTTCGTCACCGGGTCTCAGACCATGGCCTGACCACAGTCCCATCATCTCATCCTGGGCAGCTCCCTGGACCCAGAGAGCCAAGAAAGGGGAGCCGGTGAAAGGTCATGTGTGGGCCGGGCGTGGTGGCTCGCACCTGTAATCCAGCAATTTGGGAGGCCGAGGCGGGTGGAACTCCTGAGCCTGACCAACATGGAGAAACCCCATCTCTACTAAAAATACAAAATTAGCCGGGAGTGGTGGTGCATGCCTGTAATCCCAGCCACTCAGGAGGCTGAGGCAGGAGAATTGCTTGAACCTGGAAGGCGGAGGTTGCGGTGAGACGAGATCGTGCTATTGCACTCCAGCCTGGGCAACAAGAGCAAAAC
Source organism: Homo sapiens (assembly GCF_000001405.40). NCBI lineage: Eukaryota > Metazoa > Chordata > Mammalia > Primates > Hominidae > Homo > Homo sapiens. Next base: position 29,310,235 of record NC_000022.11, read on the forward strand.
TCCAACTCAAAAAAAAAAAAAAATAAAAAAAAATAAAAAAAATAAAAGAAAGGTCACGTGTGGAAGCTGTACCCCATCCGGGGCAACACTGCCTCCATCCACTTACCCGGAAAGCCTGACTTCCTCCTGACCCTGGAATGGCTGACATTAAGCCCCAGGAGGAGGACTTGACCTCTGACCCCTACCCTCTCTCTCTGGCCTCAGGTGAGGGAGATTCTGGGCCGCTGCACCTGCCCTGACCAGTTTCCCATGATCAAGGTCTCAGAGGGGAAGTACCGTGTGGGGGACTCGAGCCTGCTCATCTTTGTGCGGGTAAGGGCCTGGGGCCGCCCCAGCGGGCAGCAGCCAAGGTGGTGGGCTGCGGGGCGCCCGGGGCACAGCCGTGACCTGCCCACACCTGCAGGTGCTGAGGAGCCACGTGATGGTGCGAGTGGGTGGTGGCTGGGACACGCTGGAGCATTACCTGGACAAGCACGACCCGTGCCGCTGCTCCTCCACTGGTCAGTGCCAGGGTGGGGCTGGGGCTGGACGGGCAGGGGACTTGCTTCTGTGGCTCTGTCCCTCACATGCTGCCTGTCCTCTCTCCCCGCAGCTCATCGCCCACCCCAGCCGAGGGTCTGCACCTTTTCTCCACAGAGGGTGTCGCCCACCACCAGTCCCCGCCCTGCTAGCCCAGTCCCTGGGAGTGAGCGCCGGGGCTCCCGGCCTGAGATGACTCCCGTTAGCTTACGAAGCACAAAGGAGGGGCCCGAGACCCCACCCAGGTGAGATGCAGGAGGACGAGGAGTGAGGGGTCCAGAGGGTGGGGGGGCGTCAGCCCTGGCCTGCATGATGGGTTGCCTGTGCGCCAGAGTGACTCACACCCTGGGAAAAGTTCCCGTGGGTGGGGGCGGGCCTGGCTTCCCATCTCCATGGCAACCCAACCAAACCAACAACACAGCTGGGGCGGGCCCTGTGGCTGGGCGGCAGCCAGTCCAGCTCTTGCTTCCTCTGGCCCGTCCTGGGAAGGGGGGTGTCTAGAGCCCAGGAAACTTCTTCTTCCGTGGCTTTTGGGGCCCTGGGCCGCTGGAGGAAGCTGCTCACTTCTCCCTGGAAGTCCCCAGGACAGACCGATGCCCCTGACAGCCCCGTCCACCAGCCACATACCCTGCTGTTCCTCTCCCTGCCTGTTCTGCATGCCAGTCCTTCCGTGGTACCCCATCTGTCTCTATTGTCCCCCTGCCCCAGGCCCCGGGATCAGCTGCCCCCCCATCCCCGCTCCCGCCGCTACTCCGGGGACAGTGACTCCTCAGCCTCCTCCGCCCAGAGCGGCCCCCTTGGTACCCGCAGTGATGACACAGGCACTGGCCCCCGGAGGGAGCGACCCAGCCGGCGGCTGACCACAGGCACCCCGGCCTCTCCGAGACGGCCTCCTGCCCTGCGCAGCCAGTCCCGAGACCGGCTGGATCGCGGCCGGCCCCGGGGGGCCCCAGGAGGCAGGGGAGCCCAGCTGTCGGTCCCCAGCCCTGCCCGGCGGGCCCGGAGCCAGAGCCGCGAGGAGCAGGCTGTGCTGCTTGTGCGCAGGGATCGAGACGGGCAGCACTCATGGGTGCCAAGGGGCAGGGGCAGTGGGGGCTCGGGCAGGAGCACCCCCCAGACTCCCCGTGCCCGCAGCCCTGCAGCACCCCGGCTTTCCCGGGTCTCCAGCCCCAGTCCAGAGTTGGGCACCACACCGGCCAGCATCTTCCGCACACCCCTGCAGCTCGACCCGCAGCAGGAGCAGCAGCTGTTCCGGCGCCTGGAAGAGGAGTTCCTGGCCAATGCCCGGGCCCTTGAGGCTGTTGCTAGCGTGACCCCCACTGGACCAGCCCCTGACCCAGCTCGGGCCCCCGACCCTCCAGCTCCTGACTCTGCCTATTGTTCCTCCAGTTCCTCCTCTTCGTCCCTCAGCGTCCTGGGTGGCAAATGTGGCCAACCTGGGGACTCTGGCCGGACGGCCAATGGGCTGCCTGGGCCCCGAAGCCAAGCCCTTTCCAGCTCCTCCGATGAAGGCAGCCCCTGCCCTGGCATGGGGGGGCCACTAGATGCACCTGGGAGCCCCCTGGCTTGCACTGAACCCTCGAGGACCTGGGCACGGGGTCGGATGGACACACAGCCAGACCGTAAACCCTCACGTATCCCCACGCCTCGGGGCCCCCGCCGCCCCTCCGGACCCGCAGAGCTGGGGACATGGCATGCCCTGCACTCAGTCACCCCGAGGGCTGAGCCAGATTCCTGGATGTGATGGACCAGCTCAGCTGTCCCCAGACCCCATCCCTTCTCCTTTTCCTTTGTGGCCTTAACCCTTCTGCATCAGGGAGCCCCCTCTGCCTCTTGAGTACCAGACCTCATGGGACCAGACCCCTTGGGACCACATGGCACAATGGGACCTCTGTTGTACATTCCGGTTGGGGGATGAGCGTTGCTATTTAATTACTAATATTATTGAATGCCTTAGAGGAGGCCGGGCGAGCCCGGTGTTCTGAAGACCTGTGGCCCAGCAGAGCCTCTGACAGTAAAGTTTTGCTCCAGCCACCTGTCTGTTTCTTGGGGACTCCACCTTGGGGCCATTCAGACCCTTTCGAGGACCCTGGAGTTAACTGCCTGGAGGCCAAGCCTGGCAACTCTGACCTCTAGGCTTAAGGCGTTATCCCGCCCAGCCCAGAAATCCCAGGCGCACTCAAATTATTTTCCCTTTTATTATCCCGTGGTAGGTGTGGCATAAAGAATATGTCCAGTGAAGCTCCAGGAGCAGGCTGCGTGTTTCCAGTCAAGTTCATAGCCAAGTCCTTTCCATCCAATGGGATTGTGACCCATTGAGGTCCCAGAAAGGACTGGTCATCTCCAATGGAGCTTGGGACCTGGTTGGGTCCAATGAGGTTCAAAAGGGGGCCAGTCGCTTAGGAGACTGGGTTGGAGCTTTCCTCATCCAATCAGGGCGGAGACTTCCCTGTCCAGTCCCAGTGAAGTTGGGCGATCCCGTCCAATCCAGGTCCCTGATTGTCCCAGTCACAAGGTGGGGCCCATGGATGGCACTGTCCGATCGGGTCACATGAGGCTGCAGCGCGCGGGATGCAGCGCCCCCTGCAGGCGCAGGGCCGGGTGTGCAGGGCGCGCGCGCACCAGAGCGCAGCGCAGCAGCTCGCGGAAGAGACGCAGCACGTGCCAGTTGTACTTGGCGGAGCACTCGAGGTAGCCGCAGCGCCAGCCCCTGCGCACTAGGGCGGCCAGCGCGCGCCGCGGTCCGAAGCGCAGCCGCTGCCTGTCCCGCTTGTTGCCTACCACGAGGATGGGCGCTTCGGGCGCGCCCGCCGGCCTGGGGGCCGAATGGAGATGAGAGACGCGGGGACCCCACGGCCGGAGAATTCCCCCAGTGGGTATACACACGCAGGCGCATTCCCTTCCTACGGCCAGAGACACCGCCCCCCCCGCCGCCCCAACGAAACCCCAGGCCCATGTGGGCCAAAGAGCACATACAGCTTAAGACCTTCCCACGGGCGAAGGCCTAAGACCCGGCCCACGACGTTGGGAGACCCTACACACTCTCCTCAGGCAAAGGCCCTGCCAGACCTGTCCTAGCTCCCCACCGCCAGAACTGCCGGGCCCCTACCTGGTCTCCGCGATGCGCTGCCGCAGGGCCTTCACGTAGTCGAAACTGTCCGGGCTGCAGATGTCGTAGACGAGCACGAAGGCGTCCGTGTCCTGCAAGCTCCAGTCCTTAGCGTCTGGCCACTCCTGGGGACAGGAGGCCAGGGTTTGCGGAAGCCTCCTTTCCACTCTTCCGCTCTCGAACCCTCTGCAGGGGCCTGGACGCTAATCCTCAGGCCAACATCACCCCCATACAGACCTCTGTGCCCCTCCCCCAAGCTTTCCGGGCCGTCTCCTCATGACCACCAGGGTAAAATTTTCCAAATCGTGCCTGGAGCCTGTCAGCCAGCCTCCTTCATCCTTGGTCTCCCCTCTGTTTACCCCGAATCTTCCTCTTTTCAGCTTTCCCCAACTCGGCTCAGGCCGCTCTCCTCCCTAGATGCTCTCGGTGCTTACCACGGCCTCTAAGACTAATTCCAAAGCCCTTGGCCCGAGTCCCGTGGTCCACCACGCCCCCAGATTGTCAGCTGTAACCGTTTATGACCGTAGCGTAAGCACCTGCTGGTCTTTCCACCTGGTATGTTTTTGCCACTTCCTTTACTCAGAACTTCACTCGGTCTTCCAGGTTCAGCTCAAATGCCACTCCCTCCAGGAAGCCCTGCTTAATCCTGCCTGCTCTTTCCTCTTCACTGCTCTAGGGTCGGAGGTCTGTCCTTTACTTTGCACAAATTACTAAACGAGTCTTCGCTCCAGGGGACAAAAATGATAGGGCAGAGAATGAACCCCTCCACCAGCCCCCGTAGAAAGTACACCCCTGCTCCTGACCCCAGTCTCTCCCATTGTAGCTCTGCTCAAGGCCCCAAACACAAAACGCCACACTCTCGGGAAGGCACCGTTATGCACCACCAAGAGCTGCTCCACACCCCCAGCCGAGGCAGGCAAAGGTGGAGGCGCTCACAGGAGCAAGGGAACGCCCCTGGGCAAAATCGCCCGGCCTCCAGCCTGGGCTTGGGCGTCTCCAGGTCGGCGGGAAGGGCTGAAACGCAAGTATCCCAGGACGCACACACATCCCTCCATCCCGGAGCACAGCCAGGCGCCCGAGGCCTCCACGCGGACACGCACGTGTGCACCGAGCACGCACACCCCTCACACTGTCACACGCCCCTGCCCGCTCCTCGAGCCGCTACCTCCGGACCCCCGGGGCTCGAGCCGGGGCCAGCGACGTCGCCGTCGCGGATGCTCAAGTCGTAGACGGCGCCGTCGAGCAGCACCGCGGGTCGGTAGAGGCGCGGCCCGTCCGTGGGCCGGTGGCGCTCGGGGTAGTCACCGAACAGGAACTGGCGGATGATGGCCGTCTTGCCCACGCCCGGGGCGCCTAGAACGGCCACCCGCAGGCTACCCCCCATGGCCGGCCGGCGCTGTCGCTCCCCGCGCTGGAAAGCCTCATGGGCCGGCGCCGCACCGTGCGCCCCCAGGCCGTGCGCCCCGCGCGCCCTGCCCGGTGCGCCACGGCCCCGTCGCGCTTCTCGTCGCCCCTCGGAGCACCGAGACCGGAGAGGGCAGGCCCGAGGCAGGAGCTGGCGGCGGGAGGGCAGACAGACAGCCGAGTGGGCAGACAGGTGGCGGGCGCGCGAGCGGCTCGGGCGGGTGCCGAAGCTCGAGAGAGAGCAGAGCCGGAGCGGCGCTCAGACACCGCCTCCGCCCCGCAGCGCCAACCCAGGCGCCGGCGGACGCGCGAGGCGCCGAAGTCCGCCCCTCTCGCGGCGCGGGTCCCGCAGCGGTGC